>NC_000001.11:203184587-203336102 GCF_000001405.40 Homo sapiens | reverse complement strand
CCATGCTGGGCTCCAAAAGAAACTGCAAACACTAAAGATAAATGAGCTGTTTCCATCTATGTGTCCAGATTGTGAGCTACACGTAGGGGAGAAAGAACAGAAGTACATTTGACCCAGTTTAAGAAATAAAAACAGGAAATGGGTCAGAGTTCCAAGAGGCAATAAGAAGACCTACCTACATAAGCAAGAGTATTGGAAATCAGAGGGGTCAGTCTTGAACTTTCTTACAACCCACCAGAAATAGAGAATCGGCAGCTTTGTCCTTGTATTCTACCCCAATAATCCCCACATTTTCTCCACAAGTGTTCATCAGAGCCATGAGTTTTGGCAAAATAGGACTCTGGAGGCAGGCAGGGACAATAACAGAAGCATGCTATCAGTGCCAGGCTTAGCTGGCAGTCCCAGAGGTAGATCTGAGTCAGATAACAAGACCAACAATGGCAGTTTGCACAAGAAGGTGTGCGGAAAGCTATTCCAAGGAAGGAGCCAGAAAACTCAAGTCCCAAAGTAGAAACAGATATATACAATCAAGGTATACACACGGTCAAGGCGTCAGGGGCATAAGCAGTTCCAAGCCCTGTAGCAAGGGTAAGCCAGGAGCAGAGGGGATGTCCTTATGGCAGCAGGGGAGTGGACCCAGAACAGCCCTGAGGGCTTTGGCCCAGAGCAAGTGTCAGGTGGTGTTTCCTGGCCCGTCCTCCCCTAAGGGGACTCTCAGCCCATAGGCACCTTAAAATTATGAAAAGCATCTCTCATTGGCCTCACTTATTATGTTTTCTGAGCCAAAAATTATGACACATTTTAATAAATACCTATGTTTTCATAGGACAATAAAACAGACTTTTTTTTTTTTTTTGAGACAGAGTCTCGCTCTGCAACCTCCGCCTCCTGGGGTCACACCATTCTCTTTCCTCAGCCTCCTGAGTAGCTGGGGCTAGAGGCGCCCGCCACTGCACCCAGCTAATTTTTCGTTTTCGTATTTTTAGTAGGGATGGGGTTTCACCGTGTTAGCCAGGATGGTCTCGATCTCCTAACCTCGTGATCCTCCTGCCTCAGCCTCCCAAAGTGCTGGGATTACAGGCGTGAGCCACTGGGCCCGGCCAAAACAGAATATTTTTAAACATTCATGTCCTAGAAGTCCAAGAAATAATCATCAAGGACCATTTGGGGCCAGACCACCAGCTAGAGGCTGGGTTGTGTCAGTCCCAGTTCTTAGTTTGCAAACAACAGAAACTGAAGTTAGCTGATTTAAACCGAACGAGAATTCATTCGTTTGTTCGTTTAAAGGGGGATGGCATATCAGGTAGTTCTGGGAGGGCTCCAGACCAAGCTTGAGGGCATGCAATCAGAAACAACACCCAAGGACCCAAGTTCATGTCCATAAAGACCCCCCACCCCGCCCTGGCACAGACTCGGGAGCTCCATTTATGAGAACTGCTGCTGTTCCTGCCTATGGAATCTGGAGGCCACTGCCATCACTGCCCTACCGTCATCAGGGTGGGTTCCACAGGGCCTTTGCTTTATCATGTCATTAACTTTCAATTCCAAGTCAAACTGGCAGAACCAAGTCAGGTGCTAGTGCCCTACCAGCAAGTGAGACTGGGAGGTGAGTATCTGGCAATCTCATATTTAATAATAGGAGTCAGGCTCTGTCTCACATAGTGGGGAATTTCCCAAAATAAATAAAGGGCTCAGATGCCGAACAGCCAAAAAATAGAAGATTTTCCTTTCAAGAAATCTGTGGAAGGGGTTTGTGAGGTGTATTCATCTTTTTTTTCCCCCTTGATACAGGGTCTTGTTCTGTTACCCAGTCCGGAGTGCAGTGGTTCAATCGTGGTTCACTGCAGCTTTGACTTCCAGACTCAAGCAATCCTTCCACCTCAGCCTCCCAAGTAGCTAGGACCACGAGTGCCCGCCACCATGCCCAGCTAATTTGGTTTTCAATTTTTGTAGAGACAGGGTCTTGCTATGTTGCCCAGGCTGGTCTTAAGCTCTTGAGCTCAAGCCATCTTCCTGCCTCAGCCCTTCAAAGTGCTGGGATTACAGACGTGAACCACCATGCCTGGCCTTGCATTCATCCATATACCAGCCGCCAAGACAGCTCTGTGGAACTGGGTAAGAGAGACACCAACAGGGGTATAGAATGACCTTATATAAATTAGGACTGCCACATACAAACACCTCCTTCTTAATCCAGAAACATTACATCCTGGTGAAAGCTAACACTGCTTTGAATCTGGTTTCAGATCCACAGAACCCATTTCCATTTGTTCCCTAGGGCTGCCGTAACTAAGTACCCACAAACTGAGTAGCTTAAAACAATTTTTAAGATGTATTTATTTTCTCATAGTTCCAGAGGCCAGAAGTCCCAAGTCAAGGGTTGGAAGAGTCATGCTTCTTCCAAAGGCTCTAGGAATCCTTCCTTGCCTCATTCAGCTTCCGGTGGCTCCTGGTGTGCCTTGGCTTGTGCTAGTATAACTCCAGTCTTCACCTGCCTGTGTCTTCACATGGCCATCTTCTCCCTGTCTCTGTGTCTTCTGCTTCTTATAAAGACACCAGTCATAGCCGGAAGCGGTGGCTCACACCTGTAATCCCAGCACTTTGGGAGACCCAGCTGGGTGGATCACCTGAGGTCAGGAGTTCGAGACCAGCCTGGCCAACATAGTGAAACCCCATCTCTACTAAAAATACAAAATTAGCCAGCTGTCATGGCAGGTGCTTGTAATCCCAGCTACTCGGGAGGCTGAGGCAGGAGAATTGCTTGAACCCAGGAGGTGGAGGTTGCAGTGAGCTGAGATTGCGCCATTGTACTCCAGCCTGGGCAATAAGAGTGAAACTCTGTCTCAAAAACAAAAAAAAAAGACACCAGTCATCAGATTTCAGGCCCGCCCTAATTCATTAGGATCTCATCTTTTAAATTATTTTTATTTTTATTTATTACGGACACGTAATATTTGTACATATTTATCTTACGATCTCATCTTGACCCCTAATTAATTATAACTGCAAAGACCTTGTTTCCAAATAAGTCATATTGTAAGGTTCCGGGTGGACATGGATCCTGGGGGGACACTATTCAATGCACTGTGCCATCTAACAGGGACTTCCATAAGGCAGACAAAAGAGCTTCATCTAGGATGTCAGACAGATGTTTCCAGGGCCTTGGGAATGGAATACCAGCCAAGCACTAAGTCCCAGGCACCTGAAACCCAGGCCTTGGTGTATGATACCCTGACAACAGCAAAAACAGCCCAAGGAAGGCATCGTCTATTCACCAAACTAAACAGCAGAGAAAAAGAAAAGGGGACATCCTGGGTTGGTGTATACAGATGACAACTCACATTTATCCTTTTCTTTTCTTTTCTTTTCTTTTCCTTTTCTTTCTTTTCTTTTCTAATAGAGATGGGGTCTTGCCATGCTGACCAGGCTGGTCTCGAACTCCTGGCCTCAAGCCTTCCTCCCATCTTGACCTCCCAAGGTGCTGGGATTACAGGTGTGAGCCACCACGCCCAGCTCACTTTTATTCTTGAGTCTGTATCTTTCCTTACTTTGTTAATTATGAAACTTTTAAAAACCTACAATGGGCCGGGTGCAGTGGCTCATGCTATAATCCCAGCACTGTGGGAGGCCGAGGCAGGCGGACCATGAGGTCAGGAGTTCCAGACCAGCCTGTCCAGTATGACGAAACCCTGTCTCTGCTAAAAAATACATAAATTAGCCAGGTGTGGTGGAGCCTGCCTGTAGTCCCAGCTACTCAGGAGGCTAAGGCAGGAGAACCGCTTGAACCCCGGAGGCAGAGGTTGCAGTGAGCCAAGAACTCACCACTGCACTCCAGCCTGGGTGACAGAGTGAGACTGTCTCAAAAAAAAAAAAAAATTAATTAATTAAAAACCTACAGTGAAGCACAGAAAGCAATATAACAAAGACCAATGTATTTACCATCTAGTTGTTTACCAGAGTTAACAAATGTTAACATTCTGTCATATTTGCTTTAGGTAAATTTTTAAGAAAAAAAAAGAACATTGGAACTATATTTTAAGTCTCCTTTTACCTCTTCCCATTCATCTCCCTTCCCCTGCAGAGGTAAATGCTCTTCTGAGATTGGTGTATTTTTATACTTTTATTACATATTTATGTAGCCATAGAGAGTTGTTTGTTTCTTTAGATTTTACATGTGGCATCATACATTATGTATCACTCTGGTTTCTTCCCCGAACATTGGGTGTCTAAGATCTATCCATATTGATTCTCATAGTTCCAGTTCATTCATTCTAGCTCCTGTAAATTTACTTCTCTCTTCTCCTTTTGAAGGACGTTTAGATAGTTTTCCAATATTTTACTGTTAAAAACATAATGCAGTGAACATCCTTTCACTTCTCTTTTGGGCTTGCATTTGAGAGCATTTCTAGGATATATACCAGGGCTTCTCAACAGTGGTAGTTTTTGGCATGTGGTGCTGAATAATTCTTTGCTGGTGGAGTGGGGGCTGCTTGTGTATTGTAGGATGTTCAGCAGCATCCCTGGACTCTATCCACTGGATGCCAGTAGCACCCACCCTCTAACTACACCCCAGTGGGAACAATCAGAAATGTCTTCAGAGTTGCCAAATGTTCTCTGGAAGGCAAAATCACCACCAGTTAAGAACCACTGGCATATATGCCAAGAGGGAACTGCTGAGTCATGAAGTATGACCAATTTACCTTTACTCGATACTGTCAAACTGCTCTCCAAAGTGGTTGTACAAATGTTCACTCACACCATCAGTATACCAGGGTCCCCATGTCCCTACATCCTCCCAATGCCAAATATTGCTTCAGACTTCAGAAATTGTGTGACACTGATAAGTGGGACTTGGTATTGCTTTTAATTTTAACTGGCATGTTCCATCTTTTGTTTTCAAAGATGGTAGCAATTACACTGATCTATTCCTTCCCAGAAGTTATACTGAAACTTTGTTGGCAATCCTCGAAAAAAGGAAAGGAGCTGGCCGGGCGCGGTGGCTCACGCCTGTAATCCCAGCACTTTGGGAGGCCAAGGCAGGTGGATTACAAGGTCAGGAGATCAAGACCATCCTGGCCAACATGGTGAAACCCTGTCTCCACTAAAATACAAAAAATTAGCAGGGCATGGTGGCGAGCGCCTGTAGTCCCAGTTACTCAAGAGGCTGAGGCAGGGGAATCACTTGAACCCGGGAGGCGGAGGTTGCAGTGAGCCAAGATCACACTACTGCACTCCAGCCTGGCGACAGAACAAGACTCCGTCTCAAAAAAAAAAAAAAAAAAAAAGGAAAGGAGCAGAGTCTGCTGGCCCAGCACTGGGAAACCGGAACCGGGACCTGGGAGCTGCCTGCTGAGCATGCAGCAACAGAACCGGTCCTCTTGCCAACCCAGTCTAACACCCTCCACCAAGGAGGTGTGCTGTGGGAAAAGATGAGCTCCTTGCACTTTTTTTTTTTTTTGAGACAAGGTCTCACTCTGTTGCCCAGGCTGGAGTGCAGTGGCACAATCATGGCTCAGTGCAGCTCAGCTAGTTTTAAAATTTTTTGGTATAGAAAAGTTTTCCCTATATTGCCCAAGCTGGTCTCGAACTCCTAGGGCTCAAGCAATCTTCTCACTTTAGCCTCCCAAAGTTCTGGGATTACAGATGTGTGCCACTGCACCTGGCTACCTTGCATCTTTCCTTGGTTACCTGGCCTCAGGAGCAAATGCAGAGATTAGAGGGCTACACTAGCACTCTTCTTCCTCTTGTAGAAGGGGGAAGGGAGATGGCCCTTTTATCCCAGGGTGGAAGAGGCAGGGACAACAGCACCCCCAATGTCCTATCCAGGGTCTACCCCAGAGTAGCAGCTGCAGCTACAATGGCTGTATTGGCATTTGTGAACAGTGGCAGTGGCAGGTGCAGGCAGGAAAGCATCAGGAACAGGTACTGTGTGACTGCAGGTGAAGGGCAGCATCAAGGGTGAGAAGGAGAGAAGGCCGCAATGAATGCACTATCATCCCAAGCCCAGGACTCAAGGCATCAGGCCATGGCTCATGAACACTGAAGGCAGCAGCAAGGATGGTTTGTAACACTGCCAAGGACAGAAAGGGAGAGGTAAGGGGCCAGCACTTGTGCTGGTTGGGGTGAGGCACATCCGCTGATCGGCTCCACTGTCACATCACCAGATGATCCTTTTATTGCAGGACAGAACTGGATAGGTTGAGGAACCATTGTTATAAACCACAGTAGGGCCACACATCAATGTTTCATGTGTTAGCTGAGCAACATGGTTAGATTGTAAATTCTTTAAAGGTAGGGATCATATCATATGATTCCTGCTAATACTCCCCAAGAGTTAACACAGAGCTGCATTCCTAAGTTTTTAATGACACTTGTGGAATCATATTCTTTGGGGCCCAATAAAAAGAGTGGCATGAAATGGATTTAATAGCCCATTACACACCCACCCCTACCACACACACACCTTTTTTTTTTTTTTTTTTTTTTTTTTTGAGTTGGAGTCTCGCTCTGTCACCCAGGCTGGAGTGCAGTGGCGCGATCTTGGCTGACTGCAAGATCCGCCTCCTGGGTTCACGCCATTCTCCTGCCTCAGCCTCCCGAGTAGCTGGGACTACAGGCGCACGCTGCCACGCCCAGCCAATTTTTTGTATTTTTAGTAGAAACGGGGTTTCACCGTGTTAGCCAGGATGGTCTCGATCTCCTGACCTCGTGATCTGCCCGCCTCGGCCCCCAAAGTGCTGGGATTACGGGCGTGAGCCACCGTGCCCGGCGCCACACCTTTTTTTTAACCCAGAAAATATAAAGTGCTTTCACTTCTATGACATTTCTTTCCCTGACACATCTATGCGGTAAGGATACAGGTATGATACAGCCTACTTTACAAGACAGGGTAACTGGGACCTAGCACGTTTAATTGACTTGTCTCCCTAAAGGCACAGACTCAAGACTGAACCCCAGAACCCCAGTCTTACTGGCTCCCCATTGAACTGTATCCCATCTTTGTGTGTTCCTTACCCTCTTCCCTGACCTCGCCGTCAGGCGTCACTGAAATGCCCCAGACGCATCACTGCTTTTGTTCTTAACAATGTGAAACATCAACCAAGCCCAGCAGGTGATAGGACTGGACAGCCGCCAGGGGTCTGTGAGCACTGAACAACCAGTCTCCACGTCCACTGAAGATAATGTATGATGTATCAGCATGTGGTATGTTTGGGGCAGGCAAGAGAATGCAGAAGGGGTGAGTCTCCAGGTGACACGAAAAGACTTCAGGAAAGGGATTTGGGGAAAACAAACAAGCCCATCTAAGTGTCAATGTGCATATATGGAGAGAACATTTATGGAATGTTCTACCTAACAAAAGGAGAAAGTTAAATCCTATTAAAAAGGGAGTTGTAAGTCCTTGCTTGCTGCTGTTCTAAAAATTTTTGAGAGGTGGAAATGTGAAGAAAAGACCTTGAAGAAAAGAGAAATCTAGTCTTGCCAAGATAATTCTCCCTTAGTAAAAATCTAGGAGCCAAACGCAGGACCCATCCCAGGGCCTTGAAACCATACCAAGTTTTATTCTGAGTCTTAAATTACTTTACTCATAGGACTTTAAATGTCCTTAGGATCTAGTGCTATCCCCAGCACCTAAACCAAGAATTGTGAGCTGAGGTAAAATGTGAGAAAGAAATGCTCATTCCTTTGTTATTAATACCTAAAATAATATCACCATTTATTAGGCAATTATGTGCCAGGCATTTTGTCACAATAATGAGAGGAGATAGTGCCATTATTATCATTAGTATTTTTCATAGGAGAAAATTGAGGCTCAGAGAGGTTAAGTAACTGCTCAAAGTAACACAGCCAGAAAGTGGCAGAGGCTAGAGTCGAATCGTGGTCACCTGTCTCTTCAGTCTAAATCTCAATGCTACTGTGCCGAATTCTTTGAGTTTGTGGGTGTGTGTGTGCTTCTGTGTCCTGGGGCGGGGGAACAACGTCACTCGAGATACATTAAACGACGTTTACAATGTACGTGCTGGGGAACTGTATGCTGTCTTAGAGGCTGAGGCTGGCGCCCGTGGCCACAGTACAATGGAGGGGGTGGTTAATCTGGTTTTAGAGGATGGCGGATTGGCGATGGCAGACAGAGCTCAAGTAACTGCGCCCATAGGAGGGCGCAAGCACGCAGAGGCACGAGAAGAAAAGGAAGAGGGCCTGAGCCCGAACTTGGGGAAATCAATGCCCAAAGCCTGAGGGACTCTGGAGGGAGGACGGGAAAGGGCCAGAGGTTCACCCCCGAACCTCCAGTTGCTCAAGAAGCGCCGGGCGGGGCCCTGCAGTCGCTCAAGCTGCGAGGAGGACCTGAGAAGCGGGGACGCCTTCGAGGTTTTAGGGACCTGAGCTCCGGCGGCAGGTGGCGAAAAGGCCCAAGCCCAACGGCCGCCCCGCCTCGCCCCTTCCCCGCCTCCCCCTTCTCTGAAAGGCCCCATTCTCCACAGCCGCCGGGGGAGCAACTCCGTTGGGAAGCCACCTAGCGCCCGGCCCCACCTTTCTTTTTTTCTTTTTTTTTTTTTCTTAATAGTTCTCGGCCAAACGCCGCGGCGTCAGGGCGGGCTTGGATTGGCCCGCGCCGCCCCCGAGCCAGCCAATCAGCGGCTTGTTGCCAAGGTGGGGCTTCCCCAGAGCGGGCGGAGGCTGCGGCGCGGCTGCTGTTTCCCAGCAAAGAAAGCAGACTTGTGAGGGCGTCTGGTGGCACTTTCAGGTCCCAGTCAGCTGCTCGTGGGGATTGAGGGACGTGGGTGGGTGGCTGGGGGGTGAGCGGCCGAGGGCCCATATCCGGGACGGAGGGAGGGTCACCTGCCTGCCTTTGCACGCCCAGCCGGCGCTGTCTCCCTCCTCCCCGAAGCTTCCTTGCTGGACAGGTCTGACTCCAGGCAGCCCGTGTGGGATCGCCTTGGCCGCAACGGTCCCGGGTGGAAAGGCATCACCGTTGTCCCCTTACCCTCACCACCAAGCATATTGAGGAAGAGGGACTTGCAAACGTGAGAAGGTGCAAAAATCATCCACCTAACTTCTGAGGCAGAACAGACTATGAACTGAAGACAGTGCTGTATTGCAGTGTGTGCCCCAAAAGGGACCAGCTGACCTTGCAGGCCCGGAGGTGCTAATGAGAGAATGAAAAGGGCCCCGGGAAGCAGGAGACGTAAATCGCACACCTTCTCCCCATGTAACAATAATGCCCAAACCGCCACAAAGCAAGGGTCTGGACGATAGGGTCTCACTTTTCCAACCATAGCTCAGTTACACAAGGGAGAAAGGGCAGAGGCAGATCTACCCCTCACACATTTTCTACCCCTCACACATTTTCCTTTGGCCTCATACTCAATTCCCCAGTCCTGTTTATCTCAGTTTCCATTGTGTAACCTAGATGAATGCCTCCTGTTCTAGTAATGGCCATAATAATATTTAATCACATTTATTGTGTACTTTCTAAGAGCTGGGTACCCTTCTGAGCACCTCACAAAAATCAATCCTCCCAACAATACCGACTAGGAACTACTTTTATCTTATTTTAAGGATGAAAAAACAGGCAGTGAGAAGTTAGGTAACTTGCCTGTTGTCACAGAGCTAGCTGTACCTAGGTAGTCTGTTTCCACCTGGGAAACCCATCTGACTTTGCTCTAGAAGACGGGGACTTTCCTGCTATATTGCCAAAGGAAAAGGCTAGAATGGTTGCCTTTTGAAACACCACATGCCCCCCAAGAGCAGGACTTCAGTTAAGGTCCTTAGGACTCCCAAGACTTCTCCAGACTCCCAAGAGATTCCCCGTGTGGCTTCACCATATAAAATGAAAACAGATAAAATGCTGAATTTTATAGGTGAATTTCACCACTATGCAAAAAAAAAAAAATGGAGCCAAGAAAATCCTCCCATCAGTACAGTCCTGATCCCCTGGCCCAGCCTGGAGCATGCCTCAGAGCCGGAGAAAAGTGAAGTATTCATCCCCCAAACGTCACAGCTTTGTTGTATATTTTCAAAATGGATCTCGCTTAGGGCAGACACCAACTTTGAAGATGGGGAATGGTGGGAAGGGGTACAGGAAGAAGAGGCTGAGAACCTGCCCCCAGCTGGTGTTGGGAAAGGCTATTTTCAGGGCGCTGCTTGGGTCGGGAGGGCAGTCCGCGGTTTCACTTCCCATTCCGCCATGTTCTTACTCTCTGAGCCCTGCCTCTGGTGTAGTCTCCCCTACCTCCCCCACCCCCATCCTCCACCATCCCCGCTGCACCCTGCACCCGTTTCCCAGCTCCTGGGGCACACCATCTGCCTGTCCTCCCCCTTCCCAAGGGACTTAGCTCATCCAATTGAGACCTTTAAATAATTAAATGCCCCAAAGCCTCCCCACACTGATCCCCAGCCCCTGGCTGGGGTGTTTATTCAAAGACCAGAAGCTGGACTGGAGGGCTGCCAACCCCACCGCCTCTATTCAGTTCCTTTCTTTTCCTGCTCAGCTGCTGGGCGGTGGCTATTGGGTCTTTTCTCCGGCTTTGGCCCCTCGCCTGCCAGGCCCAGTGCACCGAAAAAACAAACAAAAAGAGCTGTAAGGAGGAAGCAGGACTTTGGATGTCAGCTCTTCCAGGCTAGGGGTGGGGAGGGAGGAGGACACCAGATCCACCTTACACTGGGAAAGGGACAGGGATGAGGGTGGAGAGAGAGAACCCAGAGGTTTGGCCTGCTCCTCATCCCAGTGCAGGAGCCAGAGCATCTCCCTCCGACTCTGGGGAGCTGTGTGACCAAAGGAGGCGGGGAGAGGTTGTGAAGTGGGAAGGGGGTGTCAATCACTTGAGTGGTTTGGGGTTTGGGCAGCATCCTCATGCAAATTAACCTGGTGAGTCACTGAAAGTTTGGTCCAGACACAAAGAAGCTGCTTCTCTCACCCACGGCCTCCCTCCACTACAGCAGCCCCCCTCCCCAGCCAACCAAACAAAAGGCCCAAGCCCAGCGGTGCATGAAGGAGTGAATGGGCGAGACCTTCCCTGGTGACATCCCACCAGACAGATGGCAACAGTTGCCCCACACCAGTTGCAAGCCTCCTTTTCATCCTTCTCCCAAGTCATAAAGGAGAAAGACCCCAGTCCCTCTACAGCCCATCGGCTCCTCAGGGCCAACCCGAAGGCAGAATGGGGGCTAGAGGGTGGGCTGCCAGGGAGCGGGAGGTGAGAGGGGAACTGACACTGCATGTTTGGCTGGAAAACAAAAGTTTGTTGAAAGCACGGGTACTGAGGCCAGCCTGCCCATCTGTCCTCCTTTGGGGAAGCTCTGCCCCCACGCTCCTCCTGGGCTTCTGACCAGCTCTGCGCAGAGCCAGGGCCCCTGGGAAGGAAGACTTCAGTTTGGGGCAGCAGCACTAAGCTGCAGTACTTTGGGACTTTGTACTTTGAGGCTTTCATCAGGCAAACATCCCTTGACCCGCATCGTTTTGCCTCTTCAGAAATGGGTTTAAATGGAAAATCCAAGGCCTCTGGGACAGGTGGGGAATAGTGGGATCTGGGTGCTCTGCAGTTAAATGATAAAGTTTGAGTTGTTCCAGAATGGGATTCTGTTAAAATCATTCCCACATTCCCGCAAACATTAAGAAGCTAGGAGTGGGCCAGGAGTCAGAAAACTCAGCTTCCAGTCTCAGCTCACTGTCTGCGTGTTGTGTAATTCTGGGCAAGTCATCTGGGTTGTTCAAGTTCTAGTTTCCTCTCTGTAAATTGGGGAGTTAAAAACCCCCACCGCCCTACCTCCTAGTGTGGTAGAGAGCAAGCTGATGCTCGGTCCAACACCAGGTAAACAGAAGAAGCTGCGCAAGGCTCTCCTCTCAAGTTTCCCACACCCACATCTCCCAGGAAGTGGAGTGGGCACAGCACTTTAAACGTAGTTCAAAGTACTTCACATCTATTATTTCGTGAGGCAACTGAGAGTAGAAAGGTCTAAGGCTGTGCAGAGATCTTTTTTTAGAGAGTAGGGGTGGAGGCTGAGCTAAGGCTAGTGCCCTCCCCGCAACCTCCTGAATCTCAGATTTTTGTCTCCCTTCTCCCTCTGCCTTCCATCAATCTAGCCTGACTTAGGAGGATTCAAGGGGAACTCTGGGTTAAGGTGCTAAGAGTTTATTTATTGAGGTCAATACATTCAGAATAAAAGGGAATCATCCCTATGTCTTAATCAAAGGTTTAGTAAAGTTACGATTCTGAGGCCACAGGCATGCGTTCTTCTAGGCTAAATGCCACTGCAGAGGGCTGAGCTGGTGATGCTGGTGTCAGGGGAGGATGGGAAGCACAGGGGAGGAAAGTGGCTACCCAGAGAACACAGGGAACAGTACTTGACGCTCTCCTAACTGGCCTCATGCCCTGCTCTTTTGCCCACCCACCTGACCTCCTGTTGTTTGTGTTGGCCAAAGTGCCAGTGCTCAGAAGTGGTTGAAATGTCTTCTCCTGGGCATAAATAAGGTAGTAAAGACATGTTAGCTGCAAAGGCATTTCTCAAAACATCTGTCTTTCCCAATCCTTGCCCAGGCTAACCTCACCCATCTCTGATCATTTCCATTTGTGTACCTAACATCCCAGCACTGATGTAGATCATGCTGTGTAATTCCATTAGTTTGCATTCAATCCCATGTGGTCAGTGTTTTAGGTACTTTGATATATAATTTTCCTGTCACCTCCTTTGGACTGGCAACACACTGTGGACCCATCCCTGTTTTTTCTCCTCTGCTGTCCTCTCTCCCTGTGCTTCTCGAAAGGACCTGTCTCTGCCCATAAGAGGGCACTTACTGCAGGACACTCATTACTTGCCTGCCAGACTGATGGCTGAAAACTCAAAACCATAAAAATGGGTTTCAAGCTGCCAGCTGCAGCTGGCCCCATGCTAGACCCAGATAACAACCTCTGGACTCCAAGGCCAGCATGGATCCACATCAATCCCTCACATTCAAATAGCACCATAATCTCAACAAGTGCTTTTACATCCTGGCCCACCCCCCTGGATATCTTTGAATTTCATCCTAGGAAACAGTCAGTGCTCCATTTTCTTTCCCCCAGGGAGTTGTCACAGGAGAAGCCTATTGGTCAAGCAGTAATTATGACAGAGATTATTTTCCTTTTGTGAAAACAAGAGAAGCCACTGAGACCTAAGCCTCCACCCTGAGCAGGCTCCAGTAAGGAAGTGGGTCACAATGAACACAAGGAGTTCCTGTGTTTTGTACCAGGGCTGGGAAGTCAGCAGCTGAAATTCCTGATTAGGGTGAAGCAACCCATCTGGCTGGCCAGTCTGTATTGAACTGGGATTTCTCCAATTGGAGTGAGACAAAGGGTAAAAGAGAGGCTTCCCTAAAGCATCTAGACTATCTAGTCTCCTCAGTCCCTCTTGCTTCAGCTTCATGTCCAGGTACTGTGTTAGATGCAGATGCTGTGTGAATGTTGGGCAACATCAGAGGTGATCTCTAGGACCTTATATTTAAATTGAAATATGACATATACACAAAAAAGAAACCCATGGAAGACACACAGTGGGAGGGAGCAGTGGCTTCTTGCTGTAAGAACTCAGCAGGTTTTTAAAACATCACCTAACATTAGGATGAATGGCAATGATTTCACAGAGGAGAGGTGATCTGAGCTTGGGCATAAGAGATGTGTAAGACTGGGATGTCAGACTGCTTATCTTATGTAGGCTATCTGCAAAGTGAACTGTGGCTTTGTGTAAAAGTTCCTAGAATCCAGAAGACAAGAGCACTAAGCGTGACAAGAAGAAACATAAGAAACCCTGGGTTGTTTGCTATAATTTTTCTTGTTTATTCAGTCAGTCTTGGATTCAAGCCTGACTGCCAGTTACTAGCACTGTGCCCATAGGTAATTTTGCTTAACCTTCTGAGCCTGTTTCTTCCTCTACAGTCTAAGGGTAATAATGTCAATGCTATAGAACTGCTCTGAGGAGGCCAGGCATGGTGGTTCAAGCCTGTAATCCCAGCACTTTGGGAGGCCGAGGCAGGTGGATAGCGTGAACTCAGGAGTTTAAGACCAGCCTGGGCAACATGGTAAAATCCTGTCTCTATAAAGAATATGAAGATTAGCTGGGTGTGGTGGTGCACGCCTGTAGTCCCAGCTACTCCGGGGGCTGAGGCAAGAGGATTGCTTGAACCCGGGAATTTGAGGGTGCAGTGAGCCAAGATGGTGCCACTGTACTCCAGCTTGGGTGACAGAGTGAGACCTTGTCAAGGAAAGAGAAAAGAGAGGAGAGGAGAGGAGAGGGGAGGAGGGAAGGGAGGGGAGAGGAGGGGAGAAGTGGGAGAAGAGGGGAGAAGAAGAGGGGAAGGGAGGAGAGAGGAGGGGAGGGAAGGGGATGAGGGAGGGAAGGAAAGAAGGGAAGGATCACACATACATAGACAAGTGTATCATTTCAACTGGATTGGAAAAACTGCAACAAACCAAAAATACTGTCCTGCCTTCTTGGGAAGAGTGGCCAGGGGGAAACCCGTGACAGTGTCTCTGCACCAAGCTGGCTGGATTTGGGGACCTTGGTGAAGGTGGGGAATGTGTAGCTGTTTCAGGTCTCAGGTAAGGAAATGGAGGCTTTGCCAAGGTCTCGCTCTCCACTCCTGGCCTTTGCCTGGGGAGGCAGTGCCATCCATTTCATGGCAGGTAGACAGTGGAGGTAGACCCAGTACTACCTGGGCTTCTCATGTAGAGATTAGAGTCCAGGGAGGCCTGAGGTCATTGGGGTGACCTGACCCCACCCTTTCCCCCCTGGAAAGAATGGAGGTTGGGAGCTTATGAAATGACCTCTTCCAGCCTGACCGAACAGAAGTGTCTGCCCTGCTCAGGAGGCCTTCTTCCTCCCTCGTCCCCTAACTGTTTACATGCTCTCAGAAAGGCAGGTGTCAGGAGGCAGCTGCTGCTTGTGGTTAGCTCCCCCTAGATACAGGAGCGCCAGCCTTCCCCACACCCACTGCCATTGGCTAACAGGAAACCAAAACAGACTCCCTCTCTCCACCCTCAGCCACCCCAGCCAGTAAATAGAGAGTACAGGAAACACCTGGAGGAGCAGGCAGCTGGCAAGGGAACATTCTGCCCACGAAGAAAGGGTTTGCAAGGGAGTAGCTAGGCTGGGGAGGAGCTGGGGGAGGGGGGTCAGGGGCTTAATTGCACTTCTCATGGCACCCACCAGCTGCTGGGAACTAACAGCTGAGTTGCTGAAATGCACCATCCTCCTCTCAGTCCCCCACTAACACATACACAGTAAAGGGATCATCCCTGTCTAGCACCAGCTTGCCTTGAGTGAGAACAAGAGCAATCATACAGGAAAGACTCCTCAGAAGGCTTTGCCTCCTTAGCCTCAGCCAGAGCTTCTGAACCTCTGTGGACCATGTAAAAGTAAACCCGTGGTTCAGGCATGAAGACTGAATCATCAGTCTTCATCAGCCCACGTGATGTAAAAGCCCGCCCATGTAATGTGAAAGCTCATTCCAAAGATAAGTCTTCAGTTATTTCCAAACTTACCTAGATCTCCATCTGTGTCTGCCTATTTACTGCTTATGATTTCAAGTTGTTGAGGTTCAGGGTAGAACTGACTTCACCAACATCAAATGAAGCCCTGCCATCAGCATCCAGCATCCACCCAAGAACGTGTTCACTGGTGTGTAGACTTTGTGCCGGGAACCATGTATGCAGGCTGGCTTAGCTTACAGAGCTCCTTCACTCCCTCTTAGGAGACTCCCAAATAGAGCACTTTTCCTTTTAGGTTTAGAGTGGGAGGATGGAGGGGTGGTGAGGAGGGGACACTTGCCCCACAGCTACCTGAGGACCACACTGTAGTTTGTTCAACCCGTATCTGTCATCCAATGGTCAGTGTACTTAGGCCTGCTCCGTGCAGAATGGTAGACAAGCACATGGAGGTGAAAAAGGAAATAGAAATGATTCCTGCCATGGAGGTGTGAGTGACGACAGTTGGAGAGGGGAGAAGGGCTTGCAGAGCCACCAGACGTCAACTCAAAGCAATGTGCTGCCGGGCCCGGTGGCTCACGCCTGTAATCCCAGCACTTTGGGAGGCCGAGGCCAGCAGATCACTTGAGGTCAGGAGTTTGAGACCAACCTGGCCATTGTGTTGAAGCTCTGTCTCTACTAAAAATACAAAAGTTAGCCCGGTGTGATGGCACGTGCCTGTAATCCCAGCTACTTGGGAGGCTGAGGCAGGAGAATGGCTTGAACTGGGGAGGCAGAGGTTGCAGTGAACCAAGATCACACCACTGCACTCCAGCCTGGGTGAAGGAGCGAGACTCCATCACACACAGACACCCACACACACACACACACAGAGCAATGTGCTGACTGTGTTTGCTATAAAAGTGTGAACAGTAATAAACTATGTGTATACATCCTTAAGGAGTTCTGAAGTAAGAAATATGTCATAAAGATGTGAGCAGTTTTAAACCATATGCATGAATGCTGGAAACCCCTGAGGTAAGAATGTATATAGAGGACAAGTGGAATTATTCAGGGAAGGCATCCTGAAGAGGCAGTGGTAAGGGAAAACAGCATTGATGCTGGAGACAGGCGCACATAGGTTTTAAACCCATTTCCACCACTGCCCTCTTCTAGTTACTGGTGCCTTGCTTTCTTCATCCGTGAATCTGAGGTCATAAGATCTCAGAGACTGCATTCAAAAAAACAGTAGAGATACTGTGTGTAAAATACCAGGCGGAGTCCCTGGCAATAGTGAGTGTTCAGCACACAGTAGGTGCTCACATCCTAGAAGAAAGTGATTTGTGCCACATCAATTGGCAGAGTACAGAAACTTGCAGATGTCAGCAGAGCTGCAAGGAAAGGTGAGCAGGAGAGAATTCGGTGAGGGGCTCTGGCCTGGTTGGGCTACTGCACAAGGAGTTTGGGGTTGGAAAGACTGAGAGAGCCTGGGATTCCCATCTTAGGAATACAGAATGGCAAAGAAAGTCTGCAGGAAGGGAATGGCATGATGAAAATAGAGTTTGCATGCTCGCTTCGGCAGCACATATACTAAAATTGGAACGATACGGAGATTAGCATGGCTCCTGCGCAAGGATGACACACAAATTTGTGAAGCATTCCGTATTTTTATAAATAAAAAAATTGGGAAAAAAAAAAGAAAATAGAGTTTGCGTTGTGCTAGGATGATGGTCAGTCCGGTGGTAGGGCAGGGAGGGCAGGAGGCTGTTGTATGAATGTTACGAGGACAAGACCTGGGTTATGTGCCGGCAGGAAATAGAGCAGAAGAAATAGGTTGTTTTTTTTTTCCTGTTCCATATGGAAACAAAAATAGAATGGTAAGAGATAATTTAGCACAGGTGACTCATTTTACAGATAGGAAAACTGAGGCTCATGAAGGAGAAAAGGTGGTGCAAGGCTGCAGCCATTGTGGATTTTTCACAAGATGATTTATAAACTAAACACTTTCCAAAAAGAAAGAAAGAAAGAAAGAAGAAGAAGAAGAAGAAGAAGAAGAAGAAGAAGAAGAAGAAGAAGAAGAAGAAGAAGAAGAAGAAGAAGAAGAAGAAGGAGGAGAGGAAGGAAGGAAGGAAGGAAGGAAGGAAGGAAGGAAGGAAGGAAGGAAGGGAAAGAAAGAAAGAAAGGAAGGAAGGAAGGAAGGAAGGAAGGAAGGAAGGAAGGAAGGAAGGAAAGAAAAAGAAAGAAAGAGAAGGAAAGGAAGAAAGAAAGGAAGAAGGAAGACAAAAACTGAGGCTCAGAGTGGAGAAGGGACTTGTTCAAGATATCGAAGACTTCTATTACAAGTTACTGTCAGCCCTGAAGCTAGGCCCCCTATTTCCTAACAACTCCTACCCCAGTGCCATTTCTGTGAGCCCCCAGCCAGCCTCCAAAGTAGACACTAGGAAGGATTTCTCTGGATAGAAATCAGCGTTTAGTAGCTGTGGAATCTATTCTCCCTCTCCTGCCACTGGGGCCAGAGTCCTTTCCTGGCATCAGCCCAGATTTCTTCTCTCCAGGTTGTTACCTTTTGGGTAAATCCATTTAGGGAGTTAATTGATAACGAAGGCTCTCTCACATTATGATTTAAGGTGTGAACACCCCTATTTAAGTGACATTTACATTTCAATAAGAGGTGTTTAAAGACCTAAAAGCCTGCAAGATTCAAAGGACCAAGTTTTCTTAAGGTGCAATCACAGGTTCCTAGGGAGTCCCAGCTCAAAATTGCTGAATGGGCTTAATTTTTTTTCTTCCACCCCTGATCTAAATTCCTTTCATCCACTAGCCTCCACTCTTGGCAACTTTGACATTCATTTGTTCAACCAGTATTCACTAATACCTACTAAGTACCAGACACTGTTCAGGCAAGGTCTCTAGTCTACATTCTAGCTATAAATTCAGGGTTATAAAACCGAACATCATGGGAACTCAGGGGAAGGCCATGTAGCCCAGTCTGTGAAGGAGAGATGTCACTGAAAAACTGTGAACTTGAAAGTGTGAACACTGAACAGTGAACATTGGAAAAGTGTGAACTTAAAAACGTGAGTGAACCTGGCTAAAGTAGGTGGAAAGGAAGGGGACAGGGCATTCCTTGAGCAAAAGCCTGGAGGCTGCCGTCCCAAGCACAAGTTTAACGGGTACCACCAGTTGAAGGTGGGGAGCGCTGCTTTTTATCTAATTTTAGGGGTGAAGAGGCCCCTTGTGTGCCCTCATTTCTATCAGGAACATGCCAGAATGCTCCTTCTTAGAGATTGTGGCCATAGGGACAGCCTTCCACTGAGGTCCTCAATGCAGAGACTCACTCCTAGCTTGGGGGATAGGGTTGAAAACCCCTACATCCCATTCCCAGGTGGCCCCAGGTACATCATAGGCCACAAGTTGAGAGCACATGCAGATATGTACTTTTAAAAAAACAGCCTTTAGCACTTTCAAAAAATTAGTTGCCATGATTAGAGTTTAGGGAAATGTCAAATAAACATCTACATTTCAGGCTGCTCTTGAAAATTACCATATCTGAAATCACTGGCCTCATGATTGCAGTGGACTGAAGCTAAGGAACAGAGGCTCTGTTCAGACAAGGTTTGAGCTCACTCCTCAAGTTTACCATGGCTTTTGTCCAGCCAGCCTCACTTATCTACTGCCTGGTCCCACCCTCACTCCCCTGCCCATCGAATTTTAAATGGCCCTTCCCTGATAGTGATGTTAAGTAAAGCAGTTCTTGCTCCAAACTCACCCAGCTATTACCTCTTCTTATCTGATATGCTCTAGGCAGCCTGTGCAGTTTACTGGACAAGAGTTGAATCAAGGTTCATTCTTGTTTATAGGAATGAGGGTGGAGAATGGCAGAGCCAATGGGAACAAAATGGCTTGAAGCTGCTGGGGCCCAGAGAACCAGGCTCACATCAGGGGAAAGGATTGGCTGCGTATCCAGGGCATACTCGTTTGTATAAGATCCTTATCCAGGGCCCTGGTAGCCTCTTAGACTGAGCTCAAACGTTTTTCTTGCCAGCTCTGCAAAGAAGTGGTGTGGAGAAAAAGCCAGAGAGCTTGGCCCTGCCCTTCTTAGCTTCTCCATTTATTTCTCTTCTGGGAAGGGAGAACCTGTGGGTGTACTCCACAGATGGGCTGAGTGGAGGTAAGTAAAGCTGCTATTAGAAAACTTTCCCCATCCACTTTGTGTGTAAATGAGCACATAGCCCAGTTTGGTATTAATCCACAAGCAGACCAGTGGAGCCAATGGGTCAAAGTTGCCCCGTGGCCCACCGAGGTCAGATGCCTAGCAAGGATACCGTACATTTCTGCAAGAATGACAGAGGTCAGACATGAGTTCATTCAGTTATCAATCATTAATTCAGCAGGTACTTTTAGAGTCCCTACTGTAGGCTACATATGACCCAGGAAGGGCTTTTGTATTGTGCATATTTTCTTTGCCACAGCCTGGGCTGTGCATGTTTTTTATTTTTATTATTTGTATTATTTGTAGAGATGTCGTCTCACTATGTTGCCTGGGCTGGTCTCAAACTCCTGGGCTCAAGTAATCCACCTGTCATGGCCTCCCAAAATGCTGGGATTATAGGCGTGAGCCTCCATGCCTGGCCTGTGCATGTTTTTTTTAATTTTTAATTTTTCTTTTTTTTTTATTTTCGAGACGGAGTCTTGCTCTGTTACCCAAGCTGGAGTGCAGTGGTACGATCTCAGCTCCCTGCAACCTCCTCCTCCCAGGTTCAAGCAATTCTCCTGCCTCAGCCTCCTGAGTAGCTGGGATGATTAGGCATGCGCCACCACGCCCGGCTAATTTTTGTATTTTTATTAGAGACGGGATTTCACCATTTTGGCCAGGCTGGTCTCAAACTCCTGACCTTGTGATCCGCTGGCCTCGGCATCCCAAAGTGCTGGGATTACAGTCATGAGTCACCACGCCTGGCCCTGTGCATGTTTTTAAACAAAGGATTGAAAATCATCTTTGTAGGGGAGAGGCCACAGGCTGCTCGGATGGTGTTATCTGTAGCCATTCTTTTTTTCTTTCTTTTTTTTTTTTTTGAGATGGAGTCTCACTCTGTCGTCCAGGCTGGAGTGCACTGGTGAGGTCTCAGCTCACTGCAACCTCCACCTCCCAGGTTCAAGAGATTCTCCTGCCTCAGCCTCCTGAGTAGCTGGGATGACAGGTGCGTGCCACCACCCAGCTAATTTTTGTATTTTTAGTAGAGACGGGGTTTCACCATGTTGATCAGGCTGGTCTCGACCTCCTGACCTCATGATCCATCAGCCTTGGCCTCCCAAAGTGCTAGGATTACAGGCGTGAGCCACCATACTCAGCCAGCTGTAGCCATTCTTGAAGGTACTAGTAGGTGCTATGATTTTAAGAATGATTTCCTTCCAGTTAGAAGTATGCCAGAGTGTTCTTCTTCATTTTAGGATCTTTCACTTTAGGACCCTCTTCAGAGTCCTTAAGGAGATGGGGTTATTTCTATTCTCAGGCCGGGCATGGTGGCTCACGCCTGTAATCCTAGCACTTTGGGAGGCTGAGGTGGGTGGATTACCTGAGTCAGGAGTTCGATTCCAGCCTGGCCAACATGGTGAAACCCCATCTCTACTTAAAATATAAAAATTAGCTGGGCATAGTTGCAGCACCTGTAATCCCAGCTATTCAGGAGGCTGAGGCAGGAGAATCTCTCTTTTTTTTTTAAGGTTTTTTTTTATTATTATACTTTAAGTTCTAGGGTACATGTGCACAACGTGCAGGTTTGTTATATAAGTATACATGTGCTATGTTGGTTTGCTGCACCCATCAACTCATCTTTTACATTAGGTATTTTTCCTAATGCTATCCCTCCCCCAGTCCCCCACCCCCTGACAGGCCCCAGTGTGTGATGTTCCCTACCCTGTGTCCAAGTGATCTCATTGTTCAGTTCCCACCTATGAGTGAGAACATGCGGTGTTTGGCTTCCTGTCCTTGTGACAGTTTGCTGAGAATGATAGTTCCCAGCTTCATCCATGTCTCTGCAAAGGACATGAATTCATCCTTTTTTATGGCTGCATAGTATTCCATGGTGTATATGTGCCACATTTTCTTAATCCAGTCTATCATTGATGCACATTTGGGTTGGTTCCAAGTCTTTGCTATTGTGAACAGTGCCGCAATAAACATACATGTGCATGTGTCTTTATAGTAGCATGATTTATAATCCTTTGGGTATATACCCAGTAGTGGGATTGCTGGGTCAAATGGTAATTCTAGTTCTAGATCCTTGAGGAATCGCCACACTGTCTTCCACAATGGTTGAACTAATTTACACTCCCACCAACAGTGCAAAAGCATTCCTATTTCTCCACATCCTCTCCAGCATCTGTTGTTTCCTGACTTTATGATTGCCATTCTAACTGGCATGAGATGGTATCTCATTGTGGTTTTGATTTCCATTTCTCTGATGACCAGTGATAATGAGCATTTTTTTATGTGTCTGTTGGCTGCATAAATGTCTTCTTTTGAGACGTGTCTGTTCATATCCTTTGCCCACTTTTTGATGGGGTTTTTTCTTGTAAATTTGTTTGAGTTCTTTGTAGATTCTGGATATTAGCCCTTTGTCACATGAGTAGATTGCAAAAATTTTCTCCCATTCTGTAGGTTGCCTGTTCACTCTGATGGTAGTTTCTTTCGCTGTGCAGAAGCTCTTTAGTTTAATTAGATCCCATTTGTCTATTTTGGTTTTTGTTGCCATTGCTTTTTGTGTTTTGGTCATGAAGTCCTTGCCCATGTGAGGCAGGAGAATCTCTTGAACCGAGGTGGCAGAGGTTGCAGTGACCAGAGATCATGCCACTGCACTCCAGCCTGAGCAACAAGAACGAAACTCTGTTTCAAAAAAAAAAAAAAGAAAAGAAAAGAAAAAGAAAGAAAGAACAAGTATTCTCTTTTTATCGAGTACTTACCTGTGCCAGGACAATTATAAGTAGATTATGGCTCTCATTTAATCTTCGTAACAACATTTTTAAGTTGGTTATATTCTTCATTCCATTTTACAAAGGGGGAAATTGAGGCTTGGCTAAAGTCACTAGCCACCAGGTTGCACAGTGGATAGGTGGGTGGTAGAGCTGAGATTAAACCTCCCTAGGGAGCCTAACACCAGAGCCTGAGCTCCTAACCTCTTTGTAGTACTGCTTCACAGTGTTTGCAAACTGAAACCTTAACAGGCAGGAGTCTGACCCAAGCAAAAGATTATTAATTACTGTACTTCTCAGCCCAAATTACCTTACCTTTCAGTTCAACTAATTGAAAATAATGATAATAATGGTGCTAATTTGCCCCCCCAGTGATTGGCAGTATAATGGGGATGGATGATTTAGAATCAAAAGCTGAAAAAGGCTGGGCAAGAACCGTAATCCCAGCAGTTTGGGAGGCTAAGACAGGAGGATTACTTGACGCCAGGAGTTTGAGACCAGCCCAGGCAACATAGCAAGACCCCATCTCTAAAAAAAATAACAAAAAATTAGCCAGGAGAGGTGGCTCACACCTGTAGTCCCAGCTACTTGGGAAGCTGAGGCAGGGGGATCACCTGAGCCTCGGAGATGAAGGCCGCAGTGAGCTGTGATCATACCACTATACTACAGCCTGAGCAACAGAGTGCAACCTTGTCTCAATAAATAAATAAATAAATAAATAGCCAAAGAAAAGAACGTAGGTCATTTAATCCAAAACTCTAATTTTTTTTTTTTTTTTTTTTTTTAAACGGCGTCTCACTCTGTTGCCCGGGCTGGAGTGAGTGCAGTGGCGCAATCTTGGCTTACTGCAACCTTGGCCTCCCGGGTTCAAGTGATTCTCCTGCCTCAAGTAGCTGGGATTACATGCACCCGCCACTATGCCCAGCTAATTTTTTGTATTTTTAGTAGAGACGGGGTTTCACCATGTTGGCCGGGCTGGTCTCGAACTCCTGACCTCGTGATTCGCCCACCTCAGCCTCCCAAAATGCTGAGATTACAGGCATGAGCCACCATTCCCAGTTTTTTTTTTTTGTTTTTTAAGACGGAGTCTTGCTTTGTCGCCCAGGCTACAGTGCAGTGGCTCAATCTCGGCTACTACAACCTCTGCCTCCCGGGTTCAAGTGATTCTGTTGCCTCAGCCTCCCAAGTAGCTGGGACTACAGGCACGCACCACTACACCTGACTAATTTTTGTATTTTTAGTAGAGACAGGGTTTCACCATGTTGGCCAGGCTGGTCTTGAGCTCTTGGCCTCAAGTGATCCATCTGCCTCGGCCTCCCAAAGTGCTGGGATTACAGGCATGAGCCACTGCACCCAGCCAACTCCCTAATTTTTAAGACAGAAAAGCTGAGGAGCTTGTCCAGACTCACATGGCTAGTTAAGAAGTACCAGGACCACAACCCATACATTCTTCCTCCCAGTCCAGAACTCTTTCTGTTGCACCAATCTTTGTTGGGCCAGGGATGCTGTGTTGGCCTGGAAGCCAGGACACCTGAGTCCTCACCTTCCTTACCAAAGGCTCCTTACAGGAGTCAGGCCTACAGAAGTGGGTTTCTTCCTCCTGGGACTTGTTTGTTGCAGCACCAAGGACTCCTCCACCCAGAACTCCTTATCAGGATCCAGGATGGGCTCTTAATCTGCAGCATGCAGAGCCTTGTCTACACTCTCTGGGGAGGTGCATTATCATTCAAAAACAGCTGACTGACCACAGGTCTCCCAGGCTGGCACTGCTTACCAAGTGGAGAAGATGGAAGCAGAACAGACCAACCAATGCCTAGTCCCTGAACACATGAAAGCCACCAACTGCAACTCTTCAAGCAATTTCAGGCCAGAGCCCCTGTAACCCCAGGTAGCCAATGGGTATGCTCCAGTTCTACTGAAATTGGTTCATATCAAAAAAGAAAACACATTGCTTGACCACAGAACCCTCTCATGTAAATTGAGGGACTACTAGTTTACCAACAGCCGAGAGTGGCCCTGAGGTGAATCTGCCATGCTGTGGCTTCCCTGACTTGAAGACACACGTGGGTGAAGGGTCCCCTCAGTCTCCAGACAACCTTCCCCGAATTTCAGGCTTTCCACTAAACAAGGAAATATCCTTCATGAGCTAGGCCTTTTAGGAATCAGGAAGATAGATGCTGACTTTGTACCATACACTCAAAAGAGGGTGGGCAAAAATTCCTCAACCCTAACTAACCCTGTCCTTACATCCAAAAAAGTAGGTCTTTTTAAACAAGTGTCTAGGACATTTATTTCAGAAGCTACAAATAAAAATGGGACTACTCCTTTCAGTAACAACCCCTTGATACAATGAGTCTTAACCAAATTCTATTTATGATACAGATGACCTGGCCTTCCCTAACCCCATCCCTGGCTCCCCTACCCTCCTCACTCAACACAGGCATAGCACACACAGCCTCCCTGGGCTACTTCCAACATAGCACATCTAGGGAAAACTGTATGTTTGTTGATAAAGGTCATGGAGGTAAGAAATGAAGTTGGGGGAGTTGTCACTGTATATGAAGCAACATGTGTAAAGTTTAGTTTAAATACAGGTCACCGCCAGCTGCGGTGGCTCACACCTGTAATCCCAGCACTTTGGGAGGCCGAGGAGGGTGGATCACCTCAGGTCAGGAGTTCGAGACCATCCTGGCTAACATGGTGAAACCCCGTCTCTACTAAAAGTACAAAAATTAGCCAGGCATGGTGGCAGGCATCTGTAATCCCAGCTACTCCAGAGGCTGAGGCAGGAGAATCACTTGAACCCGGAAGGCGGAGGTTGCAGTGAGCCAAGATCGTACTACTGCACTCCAGCCTGGACGACAAGAGCGAGTGAGACTACGTCTCAAAAAAGAAAAGAAAAGAAATAAATAAATAAACAAATAAATACAGCTCACCTACAGCCAAGAAAAAACTAGACCAGGCTGGGAATGTACTTGCCCTCAGTGGGAAACTCTGGGCTTGTGTCAAAAATCTCATGGAAAGAACTCAAAAGTCAGGGAAGATAAAAACTGTTATTTCCTTGCATGTAACCAAAGGGAGTTACAAATTGGTAACAAACTTTTGGCTCTCACTCCAGTGTTTGCTGTCAGAAGTAGCTGCTCTCTAGCTAACCTGTAGCATTGGCATTCAGCTCCAGTGCATAGATCCTGAGGCCTAGCTGCTCTTGTCTAACAAGACAAGTATGGTGGATAGCAAATGACAGCCCCAGAGATGACAAGAGCACCTTTTCTGGGAATTGCCAACAATCCTGCCTTAGCCTGGGAAGGAGTTCATTACCCGCTGCTTACCAAACCCTGGTCTGTGAGACAGGCTGTGTCTCAAGGATTTTTAATAAGTTCAGTGCCTAGCACTTACTGACAATACATGCTTGCTAAATGAATAACTGACTGAATGAATGAATGAATGAAATGAACGACTATCAAAAACAAGATGCATAAGATGGAGATCTGGCTAGACTAGGGAATGTTCAGACTAGAACCCTGTTACTTCTAGCATCTTCACAGGGAAATTAGAATCCTCATTAAAGGTGGAAGTAGGTTGGGCGCGGTGGCTCACGCCTGTAATCCCAGCACTTTCGGAGGCAGAGGCAGGGGGATCACTTGAACTTAGGAGTTTGAGACCAGCCTGGACAACATGGCAAAACCCCGTCCCTACAAAAAATACAAAAATCAGCTGGGCCTGATGGCACATGCCTGCAATCTCAGCTACTCAAGAGGCAGAGGTGGGAGAATTATTTGAGCCCAGGAGGCAGAGGTTGCAATGAGCTGAGATTGCACCACTGCACTCCAGCCTGAGTGACAAAACTGTCTCAAAACAAACAAACAAACAAACAAAACGGAGGGAAGTAAGGAGCTACTTTCCAGGAAAGAGGGGATGCTTGGAAATGGCCCAGCCATACAACCAGATTTTTCTTTTATACCACCCACATGCTATAGATTGTCTGAGTGCAAGTGAGGAGAAATACTATTAAACACAAAGAAAGGATTTGGATCTGAAAGGGAAACACAAATGTACAACGTGAGGATTTTAACTTCTCTACACCACACAAGTTTATCCTACTACATTTTTATTAAAGTAACAAAAAGGTGTACATTTGTCCATAAGCTGTACATTCTTCCATATAAAAACACTATCATACAATTAGTAACCTTTGTCTTTTCTGTCAGAATAGCTTACAAACATACTACTACTATTTATTTTTACTTAATAGGAGAGACAGGCCTGCTCAACAGTCCAGCTCAGGGGTTTTGTTGTTTTTAAAGTGAACATCATAAAGAAGAGAAGAGAGACAAGATTAAGCATGAGACCATGAGGCTGCTTCTAAAAAGGCAGGGACCTGTTTGCAGACAAGATGCAAGAACACAGCCTGCAGTGATTCACAGCTTTGTTTCAACCCACAAACCAGAAAATTAGCTCTTGGGTCTGTGGGCCCAAAGTGAACTTTAAAGCAATAAAGACTGGAAGCAGGTCTGGGAAGGCAATACAAAATGTGGAGAGTTGAAAAGGAGGCAGAGCTGGCAGGAATGGGTAGGGAGAGTGTTTGGTAAATAGCACCTTTGAGTCAAAATTGAGCAGTTTAGAAATCCAGGAAAGGGGACTGGCTGTGGGGAGGAGAACCTGGGGGTAGAGGAAGTGGGGTGAAGATTCCTCACTAAGGGGCAACAGCAGGAGGGTGGCCATCCTGGCCAAATGCCCTAGCCCTGTCCTTCTTAAGGTGATTCGGTTTGGGAAACTCGAGGTCTTTTGAGGACCCCTCATCAATGTCACTGAGAAATTGAAGGAAGGGAGTTTCTTCCCAGTGTAGCTTTCCACTTTTCTCCAACCCACAACAGTATATATTGCACAAGTCTACGACAAATTTGGATTGTACTGAGACAGACAGCAACCTTTCCCACAGGTGCTCTGAGCACCAGGGAGAAAAAACAGTGCCCAAGGTTTGGCTTTTATTTAGTGTCGGCCCTACAAGAATACCAAGTAGTCTTGCAGAACATGGGGCACTCTCCCATTCAGCCAAGGAATACATGCAAGGCTGACTAGCCAGCCATCATCCCAAGGAGAGCAGGAGAGATGGTTCCCTAAGCCCACCAGGGCATCAGGAGGTTCTGATAGCCAGTTTTCCTCCAGACCCTCCTGGGACCCAGGGGGCATATTGCACAGTGACTGAGAACTCTTGTCCTAGAAAATACGGTAGCTCTATGACCCGACCAGAAGGGAAGGGGGAGGGGAGGGTTAGAGGAGAGTTGTGCTTTTGAAAAGAAGGCAGTAATAAAGGACCTGGAGTTCCCTGTAGCTTTTGAGCCACCTCTCAAAGGGATCATGGCAGCAGCATCAAGACTTTCATGTGGTTCCAAAAGGAAGAGTTTTGGCCAAAAAACATCCCCAGTGGATACTCTTTGGGTCCCAAAATTTCATTGCAAATCACCCCCAAATTATTTGCCACACATACACACAAAGCAGCACTAGCAAAGCAAAGGTTTTGTGCAGAGTTCCCTTCCATCCTAACCCCAATAACCTCCAGTTCCCTCCTCCCCCCCCTCAGAAAACCCAAAGCTTTAGATTCCTGGCTGGAAAGCAACATCTACAGGCCCCTGAGGGTAGAATTAGAAACAAGTCATGATTTCAAGAAAAGCAGCTTAGGACAGTAGGAATCAGGAGAGGCCTTTTCACTCTCTGCCCAGGACCTCATTAGAAAAATAAAAGAAAAGATAACATAGTATTGTTTAAGTCCAGGCATGAATGCCCCTGAGTAATAGAGGAGCCAGGGATGCAGGTGTCTGGCTGGGGGAGACAGAGAGCTCTGAACTTGGCCTCTCTTCCTCCCCCAGGGCAAATCCCGACCTCTCTGTTCACAGTTGCTAACCTTGCTTGCTCCCTCTCACATCTTCCTGGGGTGCTAGCCAAACGTCTCCCACTTCTCCTTGGCTAGGTCTACCCCCTAACAGCTCCCCCTCCTATAGGCAGACACTGGCTCACAGACTCAAGCACGCAACAGTTCTCTCCAAAGGCACCTGGGGAGGCCACTTCCAAGCAGCTCCCTTGAAGGATTTTTTTTCTTAAAAAAAACTTTTGGTTTCTTTTCCTCCTTTCTTAAAAAAAAATAATATATATAAATAGCTCTTCATTTAAAAATACAGTTCCCCAGGTTGAGGTATGTGGTGGCCTGTTGTCACGGCAGCATGAGCACGGCGGCGCCCAGGGCGGGGGCGGAAGGGCCTAGCTGGAGACTGCCATCACGTAGTTCTTGGAGGGGCTGCTCCGGCCCAGCAGCACTTGGTTCTTGCAGGTGAGGAGCCCACAGGAGGCGGCCAGTGGGGCCTCCTCGTACAAGACGCAGATGGAGCCGTCCTCCCCAATGCGGTAGGACACCTCATAGGGGTCCACCCACAGGGTCAGCTCGCTGGGCAGCAGCTGGTGCAGCTGGGGCTGGCTGAGTCCGATCTGGCTGGCCACCCTGCTGATGATGGGGTCCATCTTGTGGTTGATGCGAATGCAGCGGTAGCCGGAGCCCTTGGACGGCTTTTCGGGAAACCAGTGGTGTTTGTAGTGCTCTGTGGAGACAGGACCAGGGGCAGATGCCCTGGTTAGAGCAGCTAGGCCATGGATACTACCATAGGGCGGGGTGGAGGGTCAAGGGACAGGAGGAGAGAAAGGGGCCCTTTAAGTAAGGGAGGTGGATTCCTCTGAGTTCTAGGACCCTCTTTCCACTTAGCAGAGAAAATTTTATGGAAGCTGGAAAGATCCACTTTCCTGCTTCCAGGACAAGTGTATGTGAGAGAGTGTGTGTGTGTGTGTGTGTGTGTGTGACTGAGTGTGTGTGTGTGAGAGAGAGAGTGTGTGTGTGTGTGTGTGTGCGTGTTGGGAGGGGATTCTAGAGCTCTAGGGTACTCTCTAGTGGCCAGTGTATTGCTTTTGGCACACCCCCAAAGCAAGGGAAGGGTGTGACTGGGACTGGCATGTCCAGGCAGGGCCTCTGGAGACCTGTGAGCTGAAGTTTCAGGGCCAGGAAGGCTGCCAACATTGTTGGGTCCACAGCAAGTCACTGGACCTCCCACCCTGTGTTCCCTCTGCTTCCTTCAGAAGAGTCAGAGAACCTTCCTTAGCAGTGCCTAAGGGAGTGAAAACTGGGTTGTTTTGATGAAACATCTGTTTTCCTCAGAAGGCAGGGTCTGTGTGGGTGCGTTCCGAGATGGCTATCGCTTCCCAAAACTGACAGTAACCAGCTAGAAACAGCTGGGAGAGAGGTCTCTCCCCAGCCAGCGAGCGGGCTGCTTATCTCTTCACCTCCCAACTTGAAGGCCCGCACGGCAGGGTCACGAGCTACGAGGCTCTCCTCCCTACCACAATAGGTGGCAGATGGCTAAGGGGAACCAAAGATAACACAAAGGGGGCCCAAATTCCAACTTGAAGCCAGTCAGCAACCAGTGGACTACCCCAGGCACAGCGCACCCCGACCGGCAGGAAGAACCGCACTGGGACTCCAAATTGTTGAAAAGGCTCGACTGCACCTTCTTCCCTCATCGGGACCCCTCGGCCGACCGGGCGGCCCGCAACAACATCCATCGAGGGTCTTAAGATCTCGAGGGTCCAGCGAGGGAGACGAGCCCGTAATGAGACAGGGGCATAAGCTGGGGACTCGGGCTGGCACTCCAGGACCAGGGTCTGCGCCTCCGAGAGCGTAGAGGGGCGCGCCCCATCAGAACCGCCACGGCCGAGACCCGAGCACAGGGCTGGGGAGGAGGACCCAGGAAACTGGGGACTGCGGGCCGCCCCGGGGGTCGGAGGAGGGCCACCGAGTCCCAAAGCTGCTCCCGTGGGTCACCCTGCCGCAGGAGTAGAAGAAAGACGGCCCTGGCAGGGATGGGGCCGACCCCCGGTGGCGCCAGGCCCCTCGGCATGCGCTCACCTGTGAGTGCCTCCTGGAGCGCCCCGCTGAAGACCTTAAGCCTCTGCTCGCTCACGCAGCCCCGGGTCCTCAGGAGGCTGGAGAGGAAGCCCACGGCGGCGGCGATCTCCGGGAGCATGTCGGTTCCCTTCCCGTGGCTCATGTCGCGCGCGGCTCGGGCTCAGTGAGAGGTCTCGGGTGGGAAGTGCGGGTCCACAAGACAGCGTTACCCTGGCCGCTGCTCGGGCTCTGCCCGGACTTTCCCCGGGCAGCGTTTTTCAGGAGGTCCAGGGAGGTAGGGGGGCAGCCGGCGGCGGCGCTCATTGGTCGCGGCCAGAGGATGGGGGCGGGGCCCGGAGCCGCTCCGCTCGGCCCCGCTCCGGCGCTTTTCCCCGCCCCCGCCACCCCAGCCCCCGCCCTCGCAGCCTTGGCGGCGCTGAGGTCATCGCTCGCTGTCGTCAGTGCTAGGAACCTGCGCCCGGCTGAGCTGAGCGAGGCGAGAGGAGAAAGCGAGGCCCGGGGACGGGACTGAGAGCTCTGAAAGGAGGGAGGCGGCTCCCGAGTACTCCGCGCGGGGCAGGCCCCGGCCTCGCCTCTTCGCCCATTTTTAAGGCTCGAGTTAGAGGCCACCTCCTCCGAGAAGCCTTCGGTGACACCACCTCTCCCAGACGGTTCCCCTTTCTGATTCCCACAGCATTTTCCAACCATTCACGGTCAGAACCACTCACCAGGACGTGTTGTCACCATTTTACCGCTTTGCCTCGTCTCTTAACTAGACGAAATGGGTTCCTTTTGGCTCTTTGGAAAGGGAGGCTGTCTTCTATTTATTTCCGTGGTAATCCCACCTCCCACAACAAGTTCCATTCTACAGCAATGTCTTTTCTCTTGCTGAGAACCATTCAAGTCTAAGTTTTCTGGTGGGTAGGGGTAGGGGGTGTGTTGCAAGACTTTTGTCTTCTCAACTTATTTTTCTAGTTCTCACTTTCCTTAAGTGCTAATTTTTTTGAATTAGTGGTCTGCTCTCAACTGTACGTATTTTTCCGTCCACTCCCTCCTTCCCCCAGCCGTCTTCCTTCCTCATTGTGGTTTGGACCTTCTCGAGAAAGAATCTGGCCTCAGTCTCCCTCTTCCACACTCAGGGACCGCCACCATCACAGGCACTCGGTAGATGTCTGCTGAATGAGGATAACTTCTACCCAACACCGTGAAGCCTGGCCCAGGGTCTGGCATACAGATGCCGTGTTTGTAAGGTGACTAAAACCCAGTGGCCTCTGTAAATTCCTATTTTCCTTGGACTCTGAGCCCTCTGACCACCTTCTGGAAGCCGTGTCCCTGTCTTTTTTCCTTGTGCCCCAGGCTTCTCCACCCCCCTGTCTGGCTGTGCTGCCCCTGGATCCCTTCGTGCCCCGTTCCCCGCACTATGTCTCCTCAGTCCTCCTCCCTTTTCTCTAGGCTGCCTTTCCTTGGAGAGGTCCTATGCATGTAGCCTGTCTTGATGTTTACTGTTTTACAGTGGCTTTTCTCATCTGCATAGTCTGTCCTCCTGTCTTTCCATCCTGCTCCTGTTCCCACCGGCTCTGTCCTCTCCCTCAGATGTCCAGCCACCACCTCAATGTCAGCCGAAGCCCAGTGTCTCTCCAAAGCTCTTGATCTCCATTTCTGTCAGCGATACCATCATTTCCCAGTCACTCCGTCCAGAAAGGTCAGCCCCTCCTTGTACTTTGCTCCCTAAATCCAGTCCCCAAATCGGCTGCTTCTTACTATCTAGATGGTTGCAGTGGATTCTATCCAGTCCCATCCCCAGACCACCCTTCCCACTGTTAGTGGAGTTCCCTTCCTAAAAGACTTCATTCCCTAGCTCTTCTCTTGCTCAGGTCATTCTGAAACATCCCCTCCCCCATTCGTCTACTAAATCAAGTCCAGACTCCTTTGCCTAATGTTTAAGACCCTTCATAATTTAGCCCCATCTGCCTTTTTAGGTTGCTGCTACTTTGTGCTCCAGGGTCACTCTTCTCACTGCCCTCTAAGTATCAGCAAATCTACAGCCTGGATCCCTCAACAGCTTGCCCATGATCCCCATCTCTGCCCTGTAACGTGGTCCCCATTCCATGCATGCCTGAACATGCGTGACCCTGCTGCTCCGTGGCTCATGTCCTTATCTCCTGCATACATCATTGTCTATACCACGCCCCACCCCTGCCTCAATCTCTCACACTACTGAAGGTACAGTGTAATCTTGGTCTTCCACCTTGAAAACCTATGCTGACCATTCTCTCGAGGCTGAGTTAGTCATCCATACCATTCTTTGGGCATTCATAATCTATCATTTGGTATTGTTAGTGATCTTTTTAGAGATTCAACCAGAGCTTGCAAGTTAATTGAAAACAGGTTACTATGCTCACATGTCCCACATTTCTGGAACAATTCAGAATTCAAATATTTTGCTCTACTGCTTCATATAACAAATAAAAATGACCCAAAATTCTAATAGTTTGGCATTAAACATATCTCTTAGATGGCCTCTTTCACCGGCTTCTCCCCAAATGCTGGATCAGGCCAGATGAGGCCATTACTTCTGCTCACTGAGGGGAAAGAATTATTTGTTACAGGAAACAGGGCTGACCCTGGAAACAAGATAACTTAGAGATATACCCAGCCATGGAGACCAGGTGTCAGCAAGGCCGGAACTGACCAAGGTCAACCACCAAGGAAGTCAGGGAAATAGGTCAAGATATAGACAGCTATATAGGGTTGTTCAGCACCTAAATGTGAAAACGCTGAACATCTTCCTGGGTATGTCTTTGACAGGTGTGAGTTGTAGGAGATGCCTAACATCTCTTGCAACTGAACTGCTGAAAAAAATCTTATGGTAGCCCCTCGACTGTTTTTTGCTTCAGAAAATAGAATTCTGTCCTTATGTAGATTTTTCTGTCCCACACCAGGCCACATAGTGAATTCTCAAGAGAGCCAGGACTGGGACCAAATTTTCTGACTTCAAGTATGGGGCCTTTTCATTAGACTGTTGGGCCCCTCTGCTGCTGTTGCATGGGCCGTGGTCCGACAGAGCTGTCATTGCAGGCGATGATGCAGTGAATGGGACAGGAGCCAGGAGGCTGGAACCCCTCGTCTCCACCATTACCCAGGGTGTGCCTTGGCCTCGTCATTGGTGATTAGTTTGTGAACTTTGTGTAGGGCAGAGATGATCCATAAATACCAGAAGGCAGTCCCACTGCTCTCTCTTTTTTTTTTTTTTTTTTTTTTTGAGACAGGGTCTCACTCTGTCATCAGGCTGGAGTGCAGTGGCGCGATCTTGGCTCACTGCAACCTCTGCCTCCCGGGCTCAAGCGATTCTCCTGCCTCAGCCTCCCGAGTAGCTGGGACTGCAGGCATGCACCACCATGCCCAGCTATTTTTGTATTTTTAGTAGAGGTGGGGTTTCATCACGTTGGTCAGGATGGTCTTGATCTCTTGACCTCGTGATCCACCCACCTTGGCTTCCCAAAGTGCTGGGATTACAGGCATGAGCCATTGTGCCCAGCCTCTCCTCTTTTCTTTCTATACACAAGCCTAGGGAGAGGAAACTTAATGTATCTCACATTCAAAGTTCCCAAGTCAATATACAGTGTAGCCGGGTGTGGTGGCTCACACCTGTAATCCCAGGACTTTCAGAGGCTCAGGCAGACTGATCACTTGAGGACAGGAGTTTGAGACCAGCCTGGCCAACACGGCAAAACCCAGTCTCTACTAAAAATACAAAAAAAAAAAAAAAAAAAAAAAAAATTAGCTGGGTGTGGTGGCGGATGCCCGTAATCCCAGCTACTCCAGAGGCTCAGGCAAGAGAATCGCTTGAACCTGGGAGGCAGAGATTGCAGTGAGCCGAGATCACGACATTGCACTCCATCCTGGGCAACAGAGTGAGACTCCATCTCAAAAAGTAAAAAATAAAAAATAATTTAAAAAAAATATATATATACACACAGTGTAATTGTACTCAACTCTGGATTTAGGTTCTCAATCAATTTCTGAATACATTATAGCAGTCCCAATTGTTTTTGAAATTTCCTGAAACTACTCTTATATTGCTAGGACCAGAATCCTTAGAAACTCTAAAAGTCAAGATATCACCCCTGCTTTTTCTCTTTGCATGTTGCCTGTTGCTTCCCATTCCTTGGTATAATCAAGGTGCTGTTTGAGCAGCAAGATAAGGAGAGTGGGTTTCCTCTCCCTCCCCACCTGTCCTTCCTGCTTCTCCTTCTCCCTTCCTGCCCTTCCTCCTCCTCTTCCTCCTCATTCTTCTCTACCTCCCTCCACTCCCACCCAAGGGTCTTGGGTTGAATTTTGAACTTTAAATGTTGACTTGTGCTGACCAGTGACTTCACCCACTGAAGAGGGGGAATGGGGTGATGGAAGTGAGGGTGGACTTCATTTATGCCTCATCTGGACCAGAATTTCTGTCCCATGTGACCTCAGACCTATTGGTTCCTCTAGTCCTGGTTGCTCATCTCGCCCACTTGCACAGCCCACCTGTGTGGCCGACTCAGGATTGACCCACCTGCTCTCTTCAGGCCATATTCCCACGCAGAAGTGGGTCCCACTCCTCAGGCCTCTGTGCTGGCCCCGTCTGTGGGGTTAGCAAGCAGCCCTGCTCTCCATTTCCAGCTCAGAAGCAACTGGATCGTTGTAAGTGATTTCTATCTTTCCCAGCGCCCTGTTGGGCCTGTGGGGACTTGGCTTGGTTGGCTCAATTTTCTGAGTACAAGTAGAAACCTGAGGTTGAGTGAGGCAGGCAGTGGCTGGGCTGAGATATTGTAGGAGGGTAATATCAGGTCATTTCTCCACCATGCAGAGTGTAGTTTTTGTTGGTCTGTGTGTCGGTGTGGTTAGGGAGGTATTAGTATGTATATTTGAGTGAGCATACATACTTAGATTGCATGTGGGCTCTGATGTTTGTGGGTAGCAGGGGATATGGATATGTGTTCACTATGTTAGTAAGCACATATAATGGTATCTGTTGAAGAAAGTCGTCTTGTGAAATGTGGGTGTTATGGTAGAGTGTACATTTTGGTGGAGTATGTCTGAGTGTAGCTGGTGCAAATACTAATTTGATCTTTCCTCTTTACAGACCTCATTGGTGACAACTTGACTGTGCTGCCCAGAGCTGATAAGAAACATCACCCGGGGAAGACCAGCTGCCTCTTCCTTGCTTCCTAATCAGGGTGGAAATACTGCTAAATATATCACAACTCTTTGCAAGCATCGTTGGGTAATGATCGGGACATCTTTGTGGGTTCCCTATCATTTTCTCACAAAGTTGAGCCTTTCAAGGTCAGTTCTAGGCCAGCCAGTCTGGGAGTCATTCTTTAGAATCAGAAGAGAATTTAAGAAGAGGAGAAGATAAGATTGTCTCTAAAACCTGCTAATGAGAACTACAGGAAGGTGGGGATGCTAGCTACTTTTAATATTTCTGGTTTGAACCCCTTCCTCCACCCCAGAATGAACTGAGAGTAGGTACAGAAATAGATAATGCAAAGACGGTTAGGGTTGAGGGTAAGCAGAAAACTACCCATCTAGACCGAAGGAAGGCTTGCTAACATATCAGTAAGCAAACAGCTTTCTAATCTGCAGGTAACAAGTTTTACATCCCTGAGGACACTTTTTGAGATAGGACTTTGTTTGTTTGTTTGTTTGTTGTTTTTTGTTTTTTTGAGACAGAGTCTCGCTCTGTCTCCCAGGCTGGAGTGCAGTGGCATGGTCTCGGCTCACTGCAACCTTCACCTCCCAGGATCAAACGATTCTCCTGCCTCAGCCTCCTGAATAGCTGGGATTACAGGTGCATGCCACCATGTCCAGCTATTTTTGTGTGTGTGTGTGTGTGTGTGTGTGTGTGTGTATTTTTAGTAGAGATGGGGTTTCATCATGTTGGTCAGGCTGGTCTGAAACTCCTGACCTCGTGATCTGCCCTCCTCAGCCTCCCAAAGTGCTGGGATTATAGGCGTGAGCCACCGGGCCCAGCCTGGGGCTTTTTGAGACCCTATTGAAGGCTGAGGAAGAATCTGGAAGCTAAAGAGTAACCCATTCCACCACCTGCTCTGAAGATAGAAGAAGCAAAAAAAGATTAAATTGTACAAAAAGCACTTAAATTAGACAACAGAAGAATTTCCTGATACAAAGTGGGTGTCTAAGATGTGTTAAACAAGATGCCTGCTCCAGCCAGGACTCAGACACTCCTGGATGGAGAGCATCTTCACAGTTTGGGATAAAAGTGACTATACAGAGTGGTGGAGTGAAGGCTGCAGGCCCCTCCCCAAGGTGGCATCTAACCCCGGAGGTATCAGGACCTCAGAGGCTACCCACATGATTTCCAGCTGATGAGCAGAAATAGCTGTGGCAGGTGCAGGCTTCACTTGCTGCCACCAACATGGGAGCTCACCAAACACCCAGTGGCCAAAAGAACCAGGGTCTCTCTAAGCCCTGGGCTCACCGCCAGGCAAGCTTGGGTGCTTGGGAGGGCCGTCGTTCTTCACAGTGCAGCCCCTGGATTTCTTCTCAATTTACTCAACTCTCTCTCTTGAATCCCATCTGTGCAGCTTAGAAGTCACAAATTAGAACCCCCCAAGGCAAAGCTGACCATAGATACAAATGGTTTTGTCTGTATAGTGTTTAAGCACTTAAAAAATTCATTGTGAACATTTAATAATTAGAAAGTGTCAAAATGAAAATATCTATAGTTTCTCTCTAAAAACCAGAAGATCTGTTAACACTGATCCCACACTTCTATTTGGCAATGACTGGCCCCTAAGACAGGGGGTATGTCCTCTAGCTCACCACAGTCTCCACCTTTACCTACTGCATCCCTGCTGAGACAAAGTGGTACATGCCATTTATTAAGGATGAATGCTGTTTTTTTTAATTATACTTAATCCTCATTTGCATTACCTGCCTTCATTCTGGAGGTATTTGAGTTTGCATCTCCTGATAAAGAATAAATCTCAAAATTGTCATCTCTAACTTCACCTTTATTACAGAGCTTCCAATTCATTTTTTTCCAACTGAGAGCTGGACATCTTTGGAGCATTTTTCTGGTGTTTCAGTCTCAACATGTAACAGATCAAAGATACTTCTCTCCCATCTTCCTTGTTTCTTAGTTCTTTCTCTCTCTCCTTAGTATTACCCTTCTTTTTCTGCTTTAAAAACCTTCAATAGCTTCCCATTGCCTGTAGTACTAATTAAAAATCTCTCATCTGACATTCAAATGGCTGCATACCAAGGGACCTTAGGATACCCATTCAAATCACCCAGGAAGTTTGATAAAAATTCAGATCACACAGCCTCTCCCTGAGATTCTGGACCCACCCACCTCAAACTACTGAATCAGTTATTAAGTATATACATACATATCATATATATATATGTGTGTGTGTGTGTGTGTGTATATATATATATATATTTTTTTTTAGATGAAGTCTCACTCTGTCACCCAGGCTGGAGTGCAATGGCGAGATCTCGGCTCACTGCAGCCTCTGCCCCCCACCGAGTTCAAGTGATTCTCCTGCCTCAGGCTCCTGAGTAACTGGGATTACAGGTGCCTGCCACCACGCCTGGCTAATTTTTGTATTTTAAGTAGAGACGGGGTTTCACCATCTTGGCCAGGCTGGTCTTGAACTCCTGACCTCGTGATCTGCCTGCCTCAGCCTCCCAAAGTGCTGAGATTACAAGCGTGAGCCACCTCACCTGGCCTTTAGTTATTAGGTATATGAGAGGTAATTTATAGGAAGCACCTAGCATACTACCTAAGTATTATAGATGCTCAGCAAACCATATCTCATAATTGCCAACTGTCAGAAGCAGGGTTTTCAGAAATAATCTACACAAAAATTTTAATTCTTCAGATGGAGAAAAGAAAGCCATGAGATGAAAAAAAGATGTCCAAAGTTACACAGCTACTTAGTGGCAGGGCTAGGACTAGAACCTAGATCTCCCACCCAGCCTAGGGCCCTTTCCATTAGGCCAGATTCCCATCATGTGACCCTGGCTTTATTCATGTATTCACTTACTCAAGGAATATGTATTGGGTTCCCCTGGGAGCCAGCGGTGGACCATGGTGGGTTTGGGAGTTGGTATCAGCATTCCAAGTGTCTATCTGGGGGTGAGGGCTGGAGGCTGAGTGCGTGAGATGGCCACTTGGAGACACAGAGGAGCCCAGGAGCAGAATGAGTTCAGCTACTCACATAGAAGTTGATGTTTCATCAGGTGGTAGCAGGAATTTAGAGTACAGAGAAAGGCCCTAACCCTCGCAGGGCAAGATCTTTAGTCAATGAGAAAGAGCGGCCGGGAGGGCCCATGTTGATGAGACAGTGGGATAAATGAACTTCGGAGAAAGGCATGAGGAATGATGGCAGGGAAAGGCTAACATAGAGCAAGACACATTGGTCCCCACTGCCTCATTCTGAGGAGTGTTGGGTGAGGCAGAAAAACAGGCTTCTCTTGACACAGCCTGTTTGAGGGAATGCCAGGAGATGGAGAAAATGCTTGGAGGGGTGAGGATATAGGGGACTTTTCTGGGCCCAAAGGGGGCTCAATGAAAGGGTTTGGAAAGGAGGGTGGTGAGAGTTAGACTACCACAGAGCACACCCACAGTGGAATGGGGATGAGAACATGTGTCCTTCGGACAGTGACCAGCATCCATAGAGGGAGTGAGGATTTTAGTCTTGTCTGGGCCTTGGAGGTGGCAACCAAACACAGGGTTCTAGGAGAGAGGCCTGGCAACTGAGACATGAGACCCAGAGTGCTGCACAGGGCAGAGAAAGACAACCTCCAGGGAACTTCCATTTCTGCTGTCAGGGGCCAGCCACTGCCTTGACGACTGCAGAGTGGTCTTCGTGTCTCGGAGGGACAGGGCCTCCAGGGTCCTGGATGCAGGCTGTGTGCTCCCCTAACTCACCTCTTCATCCTCTCCATGTTACTCTGCATCGCGTTGGCCCACACAGGCCCACTCTCCTGCTGCTGGGAGGGAGGGGCTGGAAAGTGTTAGGAATTCATCAAGCTTGTAACTAAAGCTGACTCTATGCCAGGCCCCATCTGGGGAAGGAATCTGCTCCCCCCAAAGGCATGTATTCCCCTGAGGGTTGCTTCTCAGCTGCTGTGCTCTACTAACCCAGTAGTGTCTGTGGGAAGATGAATGATCTGGGCTTCTCACCCTCCTTTGCCACCCTGGCTGTGTGGTCAGGGAAGGGTGAAGGCAAGAAGGATGGCGGAGGGTACAGGAGAGACAGTGAAGACGGGATGAGGTGGGAGCTGGGGAAGGGGAAGAGACGTGGACAGATGGCCAGACCAATATGGCTGGAAAGGTCCCTAGTGATGTGTTTTTGTTTCTGCGACTCCCTCGGTGTATCAGGAGCAAAAGGATGGGAACGATCTGCTAAAAGTCTGTTATCCTGGAGGCCCCCCAAGAATGTGACCTCCCACACCTTCTCCCTCTAGGCCTTCTCCTATGGTACGAGAAGGTGTGACTGAAAGTGCCAGAAACTCACAGGGGAACACATGGACTTGGGACAGAAGCAGATCTGAAGCTGAATTTATTGCCTCTTTCCCAAATTTAGAAGACAGACATGTTGTAAACCCTCCTCATCCTCACTCCCAGGGGCCCAGGATAAACCCCCTTTATCTCCAGACAAAAAACAAGAGAAGAGGCCCTGAACCTATTGGAGCTTCCCCAGATGTTGTTTTGGCAGAGCCGTAATGGGGCTGGGCCTCCTGGGGCTGAGTGTCTGGGGCAAGCAGGAAGCTGGCATCACAGCTGTGACAGCCAGAGACCACCTGGGGGATGGGGGCTGAAGGGAAGAGGAAGACAGATTCAGAAAGGAGGACACAAGAAAAAGTCTAAAGAAGAGGTACTGCAGCTTCTCACCTGTGGCCTCCTGGCTCTGGGCCTGAGGTACTTCTCTACTGCACCATGGGTTCAGGTCCAGGGATCCGTGTGGTTTGGAGGAAGGAGCTAGGAGAAAGGGAGAGATGGTTGGAGTTCCCTGAGCCTTAGTTTGCTTATATGTAACAAAAGAGTATTGGGCTAGGAGACCCACCCTGCCTCTTAATCTGTCATCTATGGTTCACATTGATGACTCCTTGGGTCCTAGTGGAATACGTGATCACCTGCCAGCAAGAGAGGATTTTCCTGATGAGGTGACAAGATATCCTGGAGCCCTACTTCCTGAGCGGATCCCATATCCAATTACTGGCCCAGTCCTGTCAGTTATCCTCTTGAAATACCTTCTACTCAGCATCACTGAAGCCACCAACTGTTAGATCGTTCTTGGATAGTTTCAACAGTTCCCTAAGTGGTCTCTTTGCCTGAAGTGCTTCCCTTCCTGCCCTTTCCTCAGTCCATACTCTGCTGTCAGAGCTCCTAAACTACAGGTCTGTCTTGTCTCTTTCATGTTTAAAAGCTCTGAAGGCTCCCTACAGTTGAAAGTTTAATTCTTGGTTTGGCCTTCAAGGCCTTTACAATCTGGCCCAACCTCAAAGCTCAATTAACCCATTCTCAGTGTTTCTCAAATACATACTTTGCACTTTCATACCATTGTGCCTTTGTAGTTTCAACAGTGAGGTCTTGCCATGTTGCCCAGGCTCTGGAGTGCTGTGCTTACTCACAGGCATGAACATAGCTCCCTACAGCATCAAACTCCTCACCTCGAGTGATCATCCTCCCTCAGCCTCCTGAGTAGCTGAGTGCCCAGCTTATTGTACCTTTACTCATATTATTTGCTCTGCCTGAAATTCTCTCTGTTCAGCTCTTTGTCCATCAAAAAGCTGACTAATTATCTCCGTGCAAGTGATACAGAAGGAGTGAAAACATTATTTTTCCCACATTATTGAAGAAAAAAGTAAGGAACATATAGGGCAATGGACATGTCAGGAAAGTCTCTAAAAAGGGGGCTGGGGTAGTGGGGTGAGAGTGGGCTAGGGAAGGGTGGGAAAGGATTCTAAATCCTACTTCCTCCATCCCTTCCACTAAGAATAAGGTTGGGGAGGAGTGGAAAGGAATCTTTATTTAGATTAAGAATGGGTGGCCTGAGCTGCTTGTTATGATATATTAGTCTTTTTTTTTGAGACAGGATCTCACTCTGTTGCTTAGGCTGGAGTATAGTGGCATGGTCTCGGCTCACAGCAACCTCCATCTCCCGTGTTCAAGCTATTCTCCTGCCTCAGCTTCCTGGGTAGCTGGGATTACAGCTGTGCGCCACCACACCTGGCTAATTTTTGTTATTTTTAGTAGAGACGGGGTTTCTCCATGTTGGCCAGGCTCGTCTCAAACTCCTGACCTCAAGGGATCTGCCCACCTCGGCGTCCCAAAGTGTTGGGATTATAGGCACCTGGCCTTATATCAGTCTTGTTTTGATGATGACTGGCTCCGATGGCATATAATTATGCTTTTTTACATTGGTGTCCCTGGATGGGCTAATTAAGTTTTTGAACTGACGGATTTGTTCTAGTGCGATGGGCAGAGCACATCCCTTAAAGCCACACTGCTTAGGTTCAAATCCTAGCTGTGCTACCTTAGGCAAGTTATTGAAGCTTTCTGTGCCTTAATTTCTTTATCTATAAAATGAGATTAATAGTAATTCTTACCTCTTAGAGTTGTTGGGAGAATCAAATGAGTTTACAATACTTAGAATAGTGTCTGGCACATAATAGTGGTCAGTACATGTTAACTATTATTACTTATAATTTATACTTTGCTTACTTCCAAGAAGAATTTGAGACAGCTTAAAATATTAAACCACATAGAGGATGATTTTATGTGTGTGTTTATATTATATTAAAGATCAGAAACGAATTGGTAGTAGGAGGAAGAAAGAGAAAGATAGATATTTACAAACTTGTTTGAATCAGATACTTCTTTGACACCTAAATTTATCTTTGAACTTCCAGGAAGCCAAGGTAAAAAGGGAAATACCTGCATTATATAGTTTTCATTGTGAAATATAAAAAAGCATTCAAGTTAGCCTGTTAAAACCCACCCCCACCAGCCCGCTACATCCACACATTCCTCAAGAAGAAATTTATGATATGAATCCCTATGTTGGAATACTGGAGCCAAAGAGTCTGAAGTTGTTCTCAGTTGGCATTTAGTATCTTCCTCAATTGGGTTTACCTTTCATAAGAGCCCATAACGACAACAGAAGTAATCAGGATAATGGCTGGGATAGTAACAATCAATATCATCTCTACATTTCTTTCTATCCTTATTTCAGGGTTTCCTTCCTTCCCTCTTGGCTCAGGAACTCTCTGAGGTCAGGGGTTGAGCCTCGCTCGGTCAAATAGTCAGGTGGCCCCAGGTGGTTTCAGCTGCCTCCCTGAAGCATTAGAGTTGTGTAGAAGCAAGGTGGAACCCATGGCAAAAACTCATGAGGTGAATGGAGACAGGAAGGTTATGAGGTATGTCTAAGAGGGCTTTGAGACGATTGAGCTCCCAAACATGTAACAGAATGATTATCTTAGTGGGAATGGGTAAGCTCCTAGAAAGAGAACAACTCTGTGTCCCCTATTTTTTGAATTCAGCAGAATCTATTGTAAGTCAATATCCTTATGTAAAAACATTGCATAAGTCCAGGAAGACCACCACCACGATCTTCCAGCCTGACCTGCCAGGCTTAAAAAAAGCGGCTCGGCCAGGCGCAGTGGCTCACACCTGTAATCCCAGCACTTTGGGAGGCTGAGGCGGGCAGATCACCTGAGGTCGGGAGTTCAAGACCAGCCTGACCAACATGGAGAAACCCTGTCTCTACTAAAAATACAAAATTAGCAGGGCGTAGTGGCGCTTGCCTGTAATCCTAGCTACTCGGGAGGCTGAGGCAGAAGAATCGCTTGAACCTGGGAGGCAGAGATTCCAGTGAGCCGAGATTGTGCCATTGCATTCCAGCCTGGGCAACAAGAGCGAAACTCCGTCTCAAAAAAAAAAAGAAAAAAAAAGTGGCTCTTTGCCTACGAACTTACACACTCAGAAGCTTTGGACCTATCTCGTTGAATTCTTAGACAGGTTCAGAGGTGTGGCTGGAGGTTAGAGCTGAATTACTCCACAGAAGAAAACAAGAGGAATCTATATTTTTGTTCCTGAGAGAGAGCAGCAAAAAAAGGGGGCTTGAGTAACCTTAAAATGGTGTTGGGAGGGCCTAGAGCCAATGTGAGAGAGGAAGCCGAGGGAAGTTTAAGAACAGAAATGCCCAACACTCCCTTTTTAAGCTCTTTACATTTTTGCAAAATTAACCCCCTCAGGAGACCCCAACCTTCACTAAAGCCCATGATGTATATACAGACCTTGTAAGGAATTCATATGAAGAAACAAGAGACAGGCCTGACACGGCTCACAACAGTGAGAGCGCTCAGGGTCAGCAGGATGATTCCCAAAAGGAACTGACTTGAGATCCCAAAGCCAGAGGCACTGATGAGAAGGAATGTCTTCTCCACCCTCCATCCCCACTTCCAGGGGAATCTGGAATATTTTGAGGAAAACTATTGGATCACTCATCGATCTTCGAATAAAACATTGAACCAATCTTGCCCAGCACCTAAAGAGCAGTTGGGCACAGCTGACGAACAGTTTACCCACTGGGAGCATGGAATTAGGTGTCACCTTCAAATACCTGATGTTTAATGAGGACAACCATCTCCAAAGGGAGGATACCTGCCTGCCCACTGTGCAGTCTACTTCTTGGCTACCTAGCACAGTCCTCCCTGAGAGAGGGTTCCGTGGGGGCTCGTTGAAGCCAATGAGTGGGGAGGAGAAATGCTGCAGAAATTTACCATGTCTGGCTGGCCCTATGGCTCACTGCCATTTATGTATGGGTCACATGGGTCACAAATCAATCACTTGACCTCGTGATCTGGATACCTTTTGTCGTCTTTGTCCTAGAGTGATAAGAGGAAGGAGATTTAGTCCCCACCCTCAGAGGTAGAGAGTGTGGGTTCTTCATTCTGACTGGGGAGAAACGGTTCCTGCCCACAGGACGCTGCAAGTTCCCAAGGAGGGAGAAGCATCCACATCGAGGACACAGACGCAAAGCTGCCAGGAGACAGGCAAATATGGGCAGAGCCACACTGCACAAACACGATTCACAATTAACCAAGGAGTTGGAGTGAAGGTGTCAGCAGGAAATAGCTTGTTGGGCCTGGGAGTTTTGAGCTGAGCTGGATTTGGAAGGAAAGAGTTCTTACTAGCAGCAACAGAAGACAGTCATGTGCTGCACAGTGTCCAGTACTGTGCGAGGCGTTTGCACGATGACCGCTCACCCGCGGTTCCCCTCCCTGCTGGAAGGATCATCTCCAGCATGCTCACCACTTGCTTACTAACAGAGGCCCCAGACAAACAGCTCGCCACAGTACACACAAGAGGCAAACTCCAGATGACTTTATTTACACAGCTTAAGCTTTTCAACAGGGTCAAAGGGCATTCTCACAGCACATGGGTGTGGCCCGGGAAAGGCAGGTTCTGGAGGGGGCTCCTGAACAGGTTCCTCCTCCCTGGCACCAAGTGACCACCTGTAAGTCTGAATAGCACTTTACAGCTTGCAAAGCTGTTTTACACCAAGCAGAACACTCATCTAGTCCTTACAAGGCTCGAGGGCAGTATCCTCCATATTTTATGGAGAAGGAAGCTGGGGCCTGAAGAATTATGAGACAAATTTAAGGCCCCAAGGCAGAGGCAAGGATGTCCTTTCTACCACCCAACAGTGGCCTAGCATCACAGCCTTCCGGCCGTAGACTTTGGGATGCAGAGCATTCAGGGACTATCAGAGTGCATCAGTGAAAGGCCACCTGGTCATCTGCATTTCAATCTAGCTCTGCACATTTCATGAGAAACCCAAAGAGGGAGGATGCAGAGCGACAGCGTCTGGGAAGGCTGCCCGCCTGGGCTCTGGCTCTTGAGAGGAGACAGGGAGGCTGGCCTCCCTTTTCCAAATGCGGGTCACCTTTGCCCCGGCCTGGGCATTGTTTGGGAGAGGAGAGCCTGGCCCTTGATGGCTGGCAGCTGTTGCCCTCCCCAAGAGCGCCCCTGCCCTGCCGGCCCCTCCGGAGTCTGTGCCCATATAAGGGAAGCACTTCCCGGCAGCTGAGGTAGAGGCTGTGACGCCCCCAGTCCACGTCAGCGGCCGGCGGGAGGCGGGAAAGCCCAGCAGAAAAACAAGTGACGCGGCGCGGGAGGGAGGCGGTGGGTGGCAGGTGGCGGGAGGGAGTGGCCGCGCCTGCCTCGTTAACCCCTGCCCAGGCAGCTGGAGCCAAGGACTGAGCGCAGCCAGCCAAGGTTGTGGGCTGTCTTTGCCCTTCTGTGTGAATGGGGGTGTGGAGTGGGGAAAGTCGGGGGCCAGGGGCTGCGCTGGTGACACCTGCCTGAGCACTTCTGTCCTGGGGTGGGTGCAGGTGTTTGTGCTCTGGAGGACCTGCTCTTTGGGCGTCCAAATGTGTTTCACAGCCTGTGCATTTTGCCTGGTGGTGTCAAGGACGCATATGACATGGACAGCCATGGTGTGTATTTTTACTGCAGAGCCCAGGGATTTTCCCATAGGTGTTTAAAGACAATCACATCTCCTATTGAAACTCAATCTCTTCTGTCCTGAAACAAGCAAATAAAAAGAAAAACTGGCATCTGTGTTTCCAGAGAATCCCAGAAAGTCTCAGAAGAGGCACTGCTGTAAGGCGACTGGCTTCTCATTAGCCAAGTGGCCTCCCCATGTCTTCCCCAGACCAGTCAAATAAAAAGGTCTGGCCTAGGGGCTGACGGAGAAGCAGCCTGAAAAACGAGGGTTTCCAGAGGCCTCCTGCCAGGCAGAGGCCAAGAAAAAAACAGAAAAGGAAGAGAAACTGCGATGAGAACTCAGGGCTCATCATGGAGCCTTCACTGTCCTGGGGCAGGTTGGGGGAGGCGCTCTGATTTCTGAGTCCAGCTGAGCACTCAGATAAAGCCTGTTGGAGTGCTGTTCTCAGAGGCCTGCCTCGTCTCGCCTGAAATTATGGGTGTGCGTGCCTGCCTGTGGTGGGTTGGGGAGTAAATTGGGTAGCTCAGCCTCCGGGGAAAGTCCCCAGGGCCTCCCAACCATCCCTTCACACCCACAGTGCTTAGCCACCCACATTCGCTCCTCTATCTAAGGTCTACTTCCTCTCTCTACTTCCCCTGGCCCAGTCTCTCCACGGTAGAGAGTTGTCTGGGGGGACAACTCACCCCATCCCCAAGCTCTGGGTGCTGTGATAGAGTGGGAGTTTGAGGCATGAAAAATAGCTAGTGGCCCTCCTTGGCAGGGCATTGGCCGAGGATGTGGCAAGTTTGCTTTGGCTGTGGGCACGGTCCCTGTCTCTGAGGCTTACCCTCACGGTGGCTGGTGAACATGGTTTTATGCCTGGGAATTTTAAAGGATGTGGGAGGGGCCTTCCTTCCTCAGGAGCCAGTGTCCTGGGACTGGATGATACCAAAGGTGTTGAAGAATAAAAACAATGGGGTAATGTTTGTGTTTCTGCCTGGACAGTACTGCATAGCGGTTATGGGTGGGCTTTGGGGTCAGATGGGACCTTAGCTCTGCCACTTGCTGGTAGGTCTTCTGGCAAGTTCCTAACCTCTCTGAGCCTCAATTTCCTTGTCTGAAAAATAGAAGTAAAAGTATTAATCGTATTGATTCTTTTTTTTTTAGGCAGGGTCTCACTCTGTCACCCCAGGCTGGAGTGCAGTGGCAGGATCACAGCTCACTGCAGCCTTGACCTTCTGGGCTCACGCGATTCTCCCACCTCAACCTCTGGAGTAGCTGGGACCACAGGCAGGCAACATCACACCTGGCTAATTTTTTGGGTATTTTTTTGTAGAGATGGGGTTTTGCCATGTTGCCCAGGCTGGTCTGAAACTTCTTGAGCTCAAGCAATCCATCTGCCTCGGCCTCCCAAAGTGCTGGAATTATAGGCATGAGCCACCGCACCTGGCCTGTATTGTTCTTTTGAAGATAAAAGGAGATCACGTTTATTAAGCATTCTGCACATATGTTCACTCTTTCCACAATATTTGCACACCCAGCGCATAGTAAACACATTAAATAGTGGCTTTTATTACTATTAGCAGTGGTAGCAGTATCATAAAAGTCCTCAAGGACACCACATGGAGAGTTAGTCGGAGTCACCAGGTGTTCCAAGTTTGCCTTTGGCGGTCTCCTGCCTCTCAGCTTTCTTCGAGGTTGCTCTGGTACCTCATCACCTCCACCACCTCCTCCACCATCCCGACCTCAGCCTGGCCTGGAAGAAAGTGCAATGAGTGTGGAAGCACAAGACCGATGCTTCCACCCCAGCTTTGCCCTGCCCTGGGCCATTCCACCCTTCTGAGCCTCCATTTCCTTATCACTGAAATGGGGAGAATACTTTCTGGCTGGCTTCGTTTATTGTGAGAGTCAAGAGAATAAACGTTTGTGAAAATACTTTGAAAACAGCCCCCACCTATCAGTTCTCCACCAGGTGAATTCTCCCCTCTCATCCTCGGCACCAGCTCCTACCCCATTCCTCCCCTTCGAGTCTCTCTCTGTAGATTTTCATGGCTTTGGGCATTTTGTTCACAGCTCTGTTGACATTCCCTTGACCTCAGAATTCTGGAGGTGCCTTAATTCCGACTTCCCCTATAGACGCCTCCTCAGGGCAGGAAATATGCCTTATTCATTCATCCTGTGATTCCAGTGCCAGGCCCAGGAAGGGCACATAGTAGGAGCTCAGTCAGCGCTGATTCCCTTTCTTCTACCAGCAAATCCCAGGGATGGAGGCCTGAAAAAGAACCCAGTAGAATTTAGGGGAGCAGACTCTGTCCTCCAAGAGAGAGGGGTTGGGGAAGAAGGGAGACAGGAGGAAAGGAGGGGAGTGGCCCTTTGCTATGCAGGCCAAAGGATGCCCGCTGTCACCACACACAGGCGCAAGGTAATACCAGTCTCCATAGGGTGACATGGTGCTGACTGGTTTTACTCAGCGATCCCAAGGCTGGGAGAACCTCTGAGAGCCTCAGCAGAGGGCCAAGCCACTCTTCCTGGTAGGAAAGCAGACATTCTGCCTAAAAGGGAAGTCCTTGGGTAACAAGTTCCACTTCATCACAGCCAGGGCACTAACCTAAAACCCTACCCTCTCCTCCTCCCCCACCGCACAGGCAAACCATTTCCTCTTCTGCTGAGCTCATGGAAACAAAGAACAGCTGTCCTCTCATTGATTGGTTTAAAAATAAGAGACTCTTGCTTTACCTCCCCAACCCCCCACCCAGACCTCTGATGACCAAACATCTCAGCACAGTCCCCCTCAGGCCTCCACCCACTCCCCTGGGGACAGAGGGGCAGCCCCTGGGCCGCCCACAGGCTCCCTCCTCCTCCCTGTGGGGACCAGCCTCTGCCTGCCACTGAGCCACACCCGTCTACCTTCGGTGGGGTGACTGCAGCTGCCCAGCCACTGGCTCTTACCAGTGTGGCCTTGGCATTCACACTTTGGCCACCATAATTTTGTCTCTGCAGTGGGCCTTGCACAAGGCTGGGAGGAAACAGCCTCTGTAGAAATCAAGGTTTCCTGCTCTGTGAGGGCTGATGCGGTGCCATGGAGATACTTCCTGTGACTTTGCCAGGCAAACTGGAGGCCAGGGGAAAGATCGGGAGTGTGAAGTCCTGACTTCTCAGCTACTCAGAAACCCCTCTAAGCCTCGATGTTTTCATCTGAAAAATGACAGTGGCAAACTGCTTATAGAGGGACTGTCAGGATCAAACGAGATATGGTTATGAAGGCGCATTGAAAACGGTGCCACCATGGACACACGAGTTGCTATTTCTGCCTGCCACCTCCACAGACCCCAGTTCACCACCAGCTGCAATCTCTACAAGTGGCCCTGCCTTCCTGAAAACCCCAAACCAAGACTTGCCTCCCTGGGCATCTGAGTCCACCCCATCCTCTCTCCTCGGGCTTACTTACTCAACCTACACCACAGGGAAATGCACCAGTTGCTTAAGAGGTGTGGAAAGTTTCCTCCAGTTTTTTCCATGGTTTGTGTGCTTGTCTTACCTGTCCCGCCTCCTTCCTAGCACCGTGGGAGTATAAGCTGGCTCCTCTGCAATGGATCCGTGGCCAGTACCTCTGTTCCCTCACAGCACAGGATAACAATAAGTGTGCCAAATGGAAGTGTGCGTGTGGGAGAGGGCACACAGCCAGATGGCTCCTTGGGGCAAAGCCTTATTTCTACCACATAGGACTTTGTAGACAATCACTCTCTGGCTATAGAGGGGTTTTGTGCTCATTTTCTGTTGTGAATCAAGCTAATTTTGGATTCACTGGGATACAATAGTGAACTGAAAGGCAGCTGCCTGCAGGAGGAGCTCAGAGAACCAAGCAGAGCCAAGCCCTGGGAAGCCTTTTAGAGGAAGATTTGCAGAGAAGGAGTGTGACAGTCATAAGTGTCCCACGCTCTCAGTCCTCAGCAGGCTGTCCCTCCCAGTCCCAGGTTCACCTTGCAGAGGTGTGGTGGAGAACAAGCGTGCCCAGCAGCTTCCCGTCTGAAAGCCAACTGGCACAGCCCACCTCCAGTGGGCCACCCATGTTTCTGGGGCCAATGAGCCTCTGAGCTGGGAGGTCCTGGCCAAAGAAATGCCCTCCTGCCTCAGAGAACAGAAAGTTCCAGAAGATCCAGGGTAGCTTTATTCCTGACTTAGCAAGCAGACCTAGAAGTGGGATGGAGAAGGGCTTTTGAATCTCCCTCCAAAGGTCCAGAGAAATCTCCTTGGAAATTTGATTGATTATTGATTATTGTAACAAGAGTTTCTCCTCCCCCAGGAAGCTCACCAGAGTGGTCTTCTTCTAATAGAGGCGGAACTGTGTGATGGGTGGTCGGAGGTTCCGGCTGCTGTGCCAGACCGCTTGGGTTCAAATCTTATCTTTAACAGTTACCTAATATTCGCTGTGCTTCAGTTGCCTCATCCATAAAGTAGAAATTACAATGATATCTATCACATTGGATTGTTTTTGATTAATGAGTTACTATGTGCAAAACACTTAGGGCTCAGTATTGTTATTATAAGAAAGAACTTTACTTAAGAGGCTTCCTAGTTTAATTTCTCTACCATTATGAAAAGAAATTCTCTCCCTGATTCCGACACCTTTGTTTCTTTCTTTTTCTTTTTTTTTCTTTTTTCTTTTTTTTTTTAAGAGAAGGGGTCTCACCTTGTTGCCCATGCTAGTCTCAAACTCCTGGGCTCAAGCCATCCACTCACCTCAGCCTCCCAAAGTGCTGGGGTAATAGGCATGATCAATATATAATATATATGACATTATATATAATATATTATGTTTCTCCTGGCCTCTGAGCTCCAGGTTCAGCAAGAGGAGAATGCTCAGTTCCTTCCTGTGGACTAAAAGCCACAGGAGACATTCATCAACAGCAATGGGGTGATGAGAGCCATTTGGGAGTATTAGGAAGTGGAAGGTCTGAGAACCTTTTCAAACTAAGAAACCCACCTGGCCAAGGTGTCCCTGACTTGACTCATTCAGTCCCTATCCTGCCATATATTTATTATAACTATATTATATCCCAGAACTTTCACATTTATTGTGTTATTTAATCTTCATGATGATCCCACAGAATAGGCTATAAAGATCTTATCAGAGAAGGCAACTGGGACCTTGGGACGGGTCTCCCACTTCCTGTCCTACTGAGAAGGATCCTATCCATCTTTGCCCCAGGCCATTCCACTGAGGAAGCTGCAAGGTGGTTCCATGGAGGACCAGTTCAGAGTCCATAATAACAGGATGACTTAATGACAGGTTGAATCAGTTTGTTATTTGGAGCAGGCACTGCAGGGAAAGGGCTGGCCATGTTAGACGTGGCTCATCCTCTTCCCTCTTCAAAAACACTCCCACTTAATGCTTGACCTCCCAGAATCAAGGAAGTACGTGGCCTTATTGCTAGAGCCAAAATTTGCAGAGTCAAGTGCACATCCAGCCTGCTAACAAGAAATTCCAGGTGCCCTGAGGACAGTGGTGCTGGCCTCAAAGTCACAAGAGCTTTCTGGGTTTAGGGTCACCCTGCACTGATTCTGAGGAATTGGGAGTAAGACACAGACCCTCTCCATACACTTGGCCTGGGAGGATCATCCTGCCCTGCTCACGGGGGAGAGGGACAGAGCCCGTCAGTCCCAGCCCCAGCTCTCCGGCATGATGCCAGAAGTCAGGAGCCTGGTGAACTCTCTGGCTCAGCCACCGACTCTCTGGGTCTCAGACTTCTTCATTATAAAGTGAGGATGTCGGACTAACCGTACCTAAGATAGCCGTGAGCTTGGACAGCCGGGATGACCTTCTCTGTGCCAAATTACCCTAATTCCTTCCATCTTGTGTCATTTGCCTTCCACTTACTGGTCTTATATACATCTTTTTAAAGGATTTTATCAGTTTAGTTAAATTCAACATTCTCCAAGCAGCTGGTATACACCCGACATTGACCCGATACTGGAAAATCAATGGTGCTGAGATATCTGTTTTCAGAGTGCTTCCAGTCTAGCAGAGGAAGGCAGGCAAGAGAACAGACAATGAGACCAGGGTCTCTGGAAGCTGTGGGAGGGAGAAGAACAGGGAAAAGATCCCAGCAGGCCAGAAAGGGTTTTCCTCAGGTGACTTGGGTCTGAGAAGAAACTCACCCCGTTCCAGGAGAAGTAGGGGCAAGGGAGAAGGGGACTAACATTTTTTGTTTGTTTTGTTTTAAGATGGGGTCTCACTATGTTGCCCAAGCTGAAGTGAATGACTATTCACAGATGCAATAATAATGCACTGTAGCCTCAAACTCCTGGGCTCAAGGGATCCCCTCACTTCAGCCTCCTGTGTAGCTGGGACTATAGGTGTAAGCCATTACAACTGGCTGGGGGGACTAACTTGTAAGTTATTATTATTTATTTATTTACTTATTTTTGAGACAAGGTCTGGCTCTATCGCCCAGGCTGGAGTGCAGTGGTGTGATCTCAGCTCACTGCAGCCTCCGTCTCCCAGGCTCAAGTGATCCTCTCACCTCGGCCTCCTGAGTAGCTGAAGCTACAGGCATGCACCACTACACTTGGCTAATTTTTGTATTTTTTGTAAAGATGGGGTTTCGTCGTGTTGCCCAGGCTGGTCGCAAACTCCTGAGCTCAAGCCTCAGACTCCCAGAGTCCTGGGATTACAGGCATAAGCCACTATGTCCAGCCTTAAGTAATTATTTCTAATAGACCAAACACCATACTAGACAACTTATATGTATTATTTCACTTCATTCCTATAGCCTTTTGAGTAAGTATTAAGCCCATTTTACAGATGAACAAACTAACGTTCAGGGTGCCTAAACCCACACTGTAGGGTCAAGCTGAGACTCAAATTCAAATCTGCCTGATTCCGAACCCACGCTCTTTCCGCCCAACTAACAGAGTGTGAAGGGCACAAATAGCTACGACTTTGAATACTGGGTAGGGCCTGGGCCTCCTGGCCTTTTCTGAATCCTCCTGGCTTCTCCCCCAGCCAACAGGAGAACTGTCACTTTAAGAGGCACAGCCCCTTAGAAGGGTTGGTTTCCATTCATTTTTAATGGCCCAGCTGCTGTGGTCTCCCTGCCTCCCCATGGACTAGTCCAGGAGTTTCTCTGCAACTGAGCACTCTCATCACACTGGGGCCTGTCAATGTTTAATGGCAGCAAGGATCTTATCTCGGTTACCCAAGTCGTTTAGATTACTCCTGTGCAGGGTACCTGGAGCATGAGGGAAGGCAGCAGATGGCAGACCCGTCAGTCACCCCTCTGCTCTCTGGAGGGAGGAGGGATTATTGGAGCAGAAAGGGCGAGAGGGTGGGAGAAACAGAGGGTGGCAGGGAGACACACTGTAACAGGACAGAACGCCTCACTGCACGCTTGCATGGCCCTGGCTGTGTTCTCCACCTTCCCTATTCTCAGCCACCTCCCATAGGGGCAGCCCACTGCACATACTCCCAAGGCCCTCCTGGGAGACCCAAAACACAGGGGAGTGAGTGGTTGAATTTCTGTGGAGCTTGACCACAGTAAGTGACCTTTGAGCCCACTCTGGTGTTCCCCCTGGGCATCAGAATCTCTGCTTATTTTCAGGGAGAAAACACAGCACTACTTGTCTCTCTTATGAACTGTTGAAAACTCTAACCTCGGGTGCTCCAGAGACATGAGTGTGTTGCAAAGGTCACACAAACCATACCTTCAGTACAACCTCACGGATTCGTAGATATGTGAGCTGGGTCATGGGGGCAGGGTCCTGGGTCCTGGCTCTAGAGTACCCTGAGAGGGAGAGACAGGTTCTCGCTGCTCCCCCAGGCCCAGGGAATGCCTGGATCAGATAGTCGAGTTCTATTTGGGGAGTAGAACGTCACAGTTCAAACACAGAACCAGAGGCCACTCTGATGTTATTTACAGACCTTGTCTAAAGATCTAGCCTCCAAGCTGGGAGGGAGGGCAGTGGGCTTGCTGCCTTCTCCAATTTCTCCTGCTCTCTGAATTTCTTATATCCTGTCACCATCCCTCACCCTCCTACCTTGTCTCCATCCAGGAGCACCCTGTGCTGCGGTATCTGATGTGTCACTCACAGCTAGGAGCCTGGAAAGAGTGTTCTTAGGACAGAGGGAGGGGATTGGGAGCAGGACAGAGGACCCACCACCAGTGCCAGAGGACCCAGAGAGGTTCCTAGACATGGGGCTAGAGAACTGGGAGTGGGAGAGGGGCAAGGAGGGTCCAGGAAGGCCTCATTGGGTTGGGTGAACATTTCCCTGCCCCGAGTTCTGGGGCTTTCTGCCTGATGGGAGTTACAGTGAAAAACAGCAGGATGCTTTTCTAGGAAGACTTTGGCAGGTTGGGGGTGGGGGCGGTAACGGTGATTTCATAATTATTTCACTCCTAGTGAAATATTTATTTCACTATTAATTATGAAATAGGAATAATTTCATAATTATTTCACAAAAACTTAATGAGCAGCTACCATGCTCTAAAGTACTGGCAAATGAAGGTGAATAAGACAGGGTCTGTGCTGTCAGCAAATGTTCAGTTTATCTGGAGAAACAAGACGGATGCTTCCTGAGTAGTGAGGACTACAGGAACGTGCCACCCCATGCCCCACTAATTTTTTATTTTATTTTATTTTATTATGTGTAGAGACGGGATCTCCCTATGATTCCCTGTCTAGTCTCGAACTCCTGGGCTCAAGTGATTCTCTCCTGCCTTAGCCTCCCAACATGCTGGGATTACAGGCGTGAGCTACCATGCCCAGCGAAGAGCATTGCTTTCTTGGAAAACCAAGGCCAAGGAGGATGGCATTGATTTTTTTCCCTAGGAAGGCCCTGTGGGAATCCCAAGAAAACTGGACAAAAGGCAGCTAGCAGCCATTTAGCTGTGGGTCATCTTCACCTGCCACTCCTTCTTCCAAGGGTGGAGGCCCAATGCCCATCCTCTCCAGAGAAAAGGACAAGCTTGAAGTTCCCAGCCAAGCCCTCTACTGGAGGCAGCTGGGCTGGGCTGGAAGGAGGGGAAAATCCAGTCTGAGGCAGAAGCATGCTTTGGGGTTCTGCCTCCTGAGTCAGTTCTGGCTGCCCAGGGGCAAGGAGGAGTGGCCGAGCCCCACCCAGATCTCTGGGATGCTACATTTTCGTATTTTACATCAGTATAAGCTCTCATCTTCACAGTCTCGGGGCACCAAGTTCTTGTAAACAGAGGGAAATGTACTCTAGCAAAACTTCCCAGATCTGATCTACTTATTCAACAAAGTATTTACTGAGTACTCATTCATGCCAGACTGTTCTACATGCTAGGGATACAGCAACAAACACAAAAGGCAAAAATCCCTGCTCCCTTGAAGCTTATATTCTACCAGGGAAGACAGACGGTAAATAAGGAAATACCTAAAATAGTAATGATATTTACTATTGATAAATATTAATGATATTTACTAATGATAAATACTATCATAAAGGCTAACGTGAAATAATCCAGCAGCAAAGTGGGATAGAAGGTACCAATAGTGAGGCCAGGCGCAATGGCTCATGCCTGTAAGAAGCACTTTGGAAGGCCAAGGCAGGTGGATTGCTTGAGGTCAGGTGTTCAAGACAAGACTGACCAACATGATGAAACCCCGTCTCTACTAAAAATACAAAAATTACCTGGGCATGATGGCACATGCCTGTAGTCCAAGCTACTCAGGGACTACTCAACTCAGGGGAATCGTTGAACCTGGGAGGTGGAGGCTGCAGTGAGCTGAGTTCCCACCACTGCACTCCAGCCTGGGCAACAGGAGCAAGACGCCATCTCAAAAAAAAAAAAAAAAAAAAAAAGAATGTGCCAACAGCGAGCATATCATTGAAAGTTTAAATTGGACAGCCAGGGAGGGCCTCATGGAGAAGGCAGCCTTTGAGGGAGGCATGAGGATTCTGAAGGAATAGAATTCCAAGCTGAGGAAATGGCACGTAGAAGGGCACTGGGCAGAGTGGCGTGCAGCTGGAGCCAGGAGAGCAGGGGAGAAAGTGAAGAGGTGGAGTCAGTGGTGGTGGGCGACACCATCCTAAAGGGCCTCGTAGGCCATGATGAGAATGATGAGGACCTGGGCTTTTCCTCTAGTGAGAAGGAGAGGCCAAGGAGAATTTTGGCAGAGGAGTCAGATGATGTGACATATTTTTAAGAGACTGCTTCTGAAAGCTGTGCTGGAAATAAGTGAGGGCTGGGTGTCAGTGAGAAATGGTGGTGGTTTGGATTGGGTTGTTGGCAGTTGGAAGGTAAGAAGAGACTGGACATTTTAAAAGAGGAATCTACAGGGTTTGCTGACAAAATGTGGGTTGTGAGAAAAACCCATGTGTGCCAGGCACCATGGGAATATGTAATGTCGTTAAAATTTTACGTTAATCACGTAAGCAAGGTTCTATTTTTTTTTTTTTTTTTTTTTTGAGACGGAGTCTCGCTCTGCTCTGTTGCCCAGGCTGGAGTACAGTGACACAATCTCGGCTTACTGCAACCTCCGCCTCCCAGGTTCACGCCATTCTTCTGCCTCAACCTCCCGAGTAGCTGGGACTACAGGTGCCGCCACCACGACCGGCTAATTTTTTGTATTTTTAGTAGAGACGGGGATTCACCGTGTTAGCCAGGATGGTCTCGATCTCCTGACCTCATGATCTGCCGGCCTTGGCCTCCCGAAGTGCTGGGATTCCAGGCGTGAGCCACTGTGCCCGGCCTTTGCAAGGTTCTATTGTTATAGGCCACTTTATAGACGTGGAATCGCTTAGAGAGGCCAGGTGACTGGAAAAATCACATAGCTAGCAAGAGGCAGAGCTCTGGCATTTATTTATTTATTTTTGTTTTTTGTTTTGTTTTGTTTTCTAATTCCAGGTTAAGTTCACATAGAGCTGGTATTTAAACCAAATCTTCCACTGAACACAGACCTTGAACTCTTAGCAGCTATACTGTACAAATCTCATCCATTCATTCAACAATTCTCCATTGCTCATCAGCTCTGCTTCAGGCACTGGTCTACATGTTGAGGACGCACAGATGAGTAAGAGAAAGTCCTTGACTTTGAGGAATTTATGGTTTGGAGGCGGAGACAGAGGTAAATAGAAATAACAACAGCGACATAACCATGCAAAGTCCTAAGCTCTCAGAGGAGAGGTGAGAAAAGACCCCTCAGAGGAGGTGACGTGTGGGCAGATGATGAGTAGGGCTTTGCCAGAAGAATAGGAATGGATGGAAAAGCATTCCTGGCAGACGGAGCTGTGTGTGCAAAGGCCAGGAAGCCCCCAAGAAGGGCAAGCACTGGTGCAGTGTTTTGCTGTGGGAGTAGCGCAAGGAGGCCTGGGAGGCGAGATGAGACAGAGAAGTGAGCGGGGCAGTCAGGAACGCCTGGAAAGGGCTTCCCCAGGCTAGGGGCAGTCGTTGCAGTTACCAAGGGGGTGTGGAGCGAATCAGATCTCTCCTTATGTGGAGGGCGGACACCAGGCAGCAGACACAGTTTTCCCTATTTCAGTATGATGCTCCCTGGGAAATCTGGTAGGACTGAGAGAACAGTCCATGTTTCCAGGAAACAAACAGTACTCTGTCCCTGCGTGCATGTCTCTCTGTGTGTCTGTCTATAAATATCCTCAGACGCAGCACTTGGCTGCAGTCTCCCCCGAGCCCCCGCGGCATCTTGCTCACACTCCCCAGCTGCCTCCACCCCTCCTCCTCTCTCCTGGCCAAGACCGGCCCCGGCAAACACCAGTTTCACTGCGCAGCAGGCAAGGCTGGGTGGGGGCCAGGACTGTGACCTCTGCCTTATCATTATTCCCTGTAGGACACCAAAGCAAGTGTCCAAACAGCAGCAGGAAGGGTGAGAATTTGGCTCAAAGAGGAAATCTGGAGACTGTTAAACCCAAGCTGAGCATGAACTGATGCCCAAGTGGGGCGGGAAGGGGAAGTTTGTTTCAAAACCTAACCCACATCCAATGGTTCACAGACCATCTTGGTCAAAGGCTGTGAATGGATGAGATGGTGACCCTTGTCCCATCCAGCTCTGTGATCCTTCAGATCAGATTGGTCGGGGGAGAGACAGCAACAGAGAAAGACAGAATATATATACCTATATGTATTTGTACACACACACATAGAGACAAAGACAGACACAGGAAACAGGCAGAGACAGAGGGAGGCAGAGGCAGATAGACAGTCAGAGACAGAGATGGGGCCACCAAGTATGGGTTCAAACCATGACAACTTTTTTTCTTTTTCTCGAGACAGAGTCTCACTGTCGCCTAGGCTGGAGTGCAGTGACGCGATCTTCGCTCACTGCAACCTCCACCTCCCAGGTTCAAGTGATTCTCCTGCCTCAGCCTCCTGAGTAGCTGGGATTACAGGCACACGCCACCGTGCCTGGCTAATTTTTGTATTTTTAGTAGAGATGGGGTTTCACCATGTTGGCCAGGCTGGTCTTGAACTCCTGACCTCAGGTGATCCACCCACCTTGGCGAGCCATGACAATTTTCAAAGACACAGCAAGGGCAGGCCTATGAGAAATGTTACACAGGATTAATGTGATACATATCAGAGTCCAGCTCAGTTCCCCTTCCAGATTTCCAGCTCAGAAATTTATACCCCTGTCTCCCCTTTTCTTGTCAGCCCTGGAAAAAAGCAAAAAGAAAACCAAAAACAAAGTAACACAAAAACCCAGAGGGACAAGGAAACAGAGGGAAACCACAGACTCCCACAGGTAAGCACTGAGGGCAGCTTCCTCCCCAAGCGCTTCCTAACCCTTCTGTTCCTAGCCAAGGGGGAACCCAGGTTTCCAGCAGCTCTTCCTGAGTCTGAGCCCCATCCAGCAGGTCAGGGCCTGGGTGGGGGCAGCCAGGGTGCTGTTTCCAGGCACGGGCTGCCTCCCACCCTTCTAAAGTACTGCGACTTGGCACATCTCACCAGGCAGCTGAGCTGAGCACTCGAGTCAGCCAAACACCCTTCTGGGCTCTCGGCTCATCAGGGGCCGCCCTGGGAGACAGCAAGTCCTGTTCTCCATGTACTCTAGCATGAAGGATAGGCCGTGTGACCTCAGCAGGCCCCTTCCCTCCTGGGACCCAGTTTCCTGGTCTGTAAAATGGGAATAAAAACAGTTGCTTTGCTAACCCACAGGATAGTGATGAGCAGGGATGGAAGTGCCAGCTGTGAAGGACGTCTGTGAGCTGTGTGTGCAGCACACACAGTTCAGGGGATCCCGATGTCCTACCTGCTCTAGGCTGGCTTGTGTTCATGTCACCCACAGCAGGCTTCCAAGCAGAGCAGGGATAGGAGTTAGCTTTCTTAGGGGTGTGTTTTCTTGAAGGGTGACCCTGAATTGGGGTATCTTCAAGAAGATCTGTTTGGGGGCTGCCTCTCTCCTTCAGAGGTTTGTGTAGAGAGTGTCAGTGGGGTAGAGGTTGGGAGGGGGCCATCGCCGGGAAGAAAGGCTCTTCCAAAAGGCTTCCATCCTCCTGGCCCAAGCAGCACCCCACACCCTCTTCTCCACCCACCAACCCCAAATCTTCAGATTTCTCTGGGCAGCTCCAGCCTCAGTTCCTTGGTCCCTCAGGTCTCCAGGTAAGAAACAGTCTGGGGGGAATGGGGGAAGCAGATCACCCCGGGACTTCCTCCTCCCTCGTCTCCCTTCTCCACCGGTGGGCTCATACCAGCAGGATCAGGGACACAGAGCTGAGGCCAAGGAGCAGAGGGACTCGGCCAACCTGGTTCAGATGCCTGCGGAAAACCTGCCCCATAGCCCTGTTTGTGAAGTTGATCTTTCTCTCCCATGGGCTTGGTAAAATCTCTATATTTGAAACTTTAAAAACCAGCATCTGTGTCATAACTATGAGACAGTTATCTTTTTTTTTTTTTTTTTTGAGATGGAGTCTCACTCTGTCACTCAGGCTGGAGTGCAGTGGCGCAATCTCAGCTCACTGCAAGCTCTGCCTCCCGGGTTCATACAATTCTCCTGCCTCAGCCTCCCGGTAGCTGGGACTACAGGCGCCCACCACCGCACCCGGCTAATTTTTTGTATTTTTAGTAGAGACAGGGTTTCACTGTGTTAGCCAGGATGGTCACAATCTCCTGACCTTGTGATCCACCCACCTCGGCCTCCCAAAGTGCTGGGATTCCAGGCATGAGGCACCGCGCCCGGCCAAGACAACGATCACCTACTGAGTCCCTCCTCACACTGGGCCAGGCGTTAGACACTTTACACATTTCAAATGTAATCCTCTCCCAGCTCTGTGGCTGAGTGTGCCCCGACTGACACATAAGGAATCTGGGGTTCCATAAGGGCAAGAAACATGCCCAAGTTCACACGCTGTGGCAAGTGGCAGGATCAGCTGTCATCCCAGGTCCCCCAGACTTGGAAATCTGTCACCTGGGAAACCTGTCACTCAGGGAAGGCATGTGGCTGAGGGAAGTGAGATATAGTATCTTCAAATCCACTCTAGGAACCAGAGAACATCTCCCTCAAGTTGAGTGCTGTGCACCCTTAAGGTAAGAATGGCACTCAGTTGGCAGGGCATGGAGTTCACACCTGCAATCTCAGCACTTTGAGAGGCCAAGGTGGGTAGATCACTTGAGCCCAGGAGTTTGAGAAACCAGCCTGGGCAACACAGTGAGACCCCGTCTCTACAAAAAATACAAAAATTAGCCAGGAATGATGGTGTGTGCCTATTGTCCCAGGAGGCAGAGGTTGCAGTGAGTCAAGATCACGCCACTGCACTCCAGCCTGGGCAACAGAGCTAGACTCTGTTTCAAAAAAAAAAAAAAGGAAAGAAAAAAGAATGTCACTAAATCAAATTGTAGCCCAATGAATTATTTGACACCTGCCTGACTGGAGAGACACTGTGATAAGAGAAGGGCTCGAGGAATAGCAAGGGCTTGTGAGAGGACCCAGGGCTGACCGGGGTGAAGAAGAACAGCTTGCAGACAGTGGCCATTGTAAATACGCCTTCTGTAGACAGGGAAGTCACCCAGCTGTCCAGTAATAGCAAGAGCTACTGTTTATGTTGCATCTGCCTGGACCTAGTCATTGCACAGCACATCATCTGTATGCTCCTCCCAGCAACTCTCTGGGTTGTTCTATGATCATCTCCATGTATCAGATGAACAAAAGGCCAAGGCTTAAGCAACCTGCCAAGGACATGTTGTTAAGAACTGGTAGAGCTAAGATTACAACCCAGGTCACTCCTGAGCCACACTTTCCCTGACACTTCCCGGCACGTCACACATTTCTGTAGCCCAGTCTGACAGACTGAGAAATCCTTCGAGAAAGGCTGGCTCCATTTGCTCTGGTTCTGCATTTGCCCTGGTTCTGCATTTGCCCGGCATCACCAGGAGGGAATGAATGACTTGAGCCAATTCCTGACATCAGCCTTCTAAACGAACTGGCGCTCATTGTAAGCGGTCACAGTGGCATTGTTTATCCATCCACCCACCTCCCGTATGTTTGGTTGGGTGAGCCAGGCCTGTAGATGTTAACCAGTTCTGGTGTCCTGAAAAATAAAACAAAGACAAGTTCTAGACCTGTCAAAACAAGACGGGCCCTGCCGCTCTAACCAAGGTTCTGCTTCAGGGAGTTGGGGTAGTGGGAGGGGCAGAGGCTACCTAAGGAGCCAGTTCAGGCTAGAGCTTGGGATATACAGGCCCAAGTCCTGGCTCTGTGTCCTGGGACAAGTTACCTAACCTCTCTGAGCTTCATTTTTCTACCAACCTCACAGAATAAAGATTTGTAAAATGACTCAGCAAACCGTAAACTGCCTTATGGTCTGCCCAAAGTTATCACAGCTGCTGTGTGTGCCTGCCTAGCCCACTGGCCCCTCCACGGCAGGCATTGCAGTGGGGCCTCACTCCTGTCACCCGATAAGATGATGCCTCTGGCTCCTTAAAACTCAGCGTGCCTTGCCTCCTTCAGGGTCTTGGAAGCTTTTGTTGGCAGCCCTCTACCCCCACCCCACCCCCAGCCACCTACCACCATCAGGAGACTTCCCCAGGGCTCCTGACCCTGTGGTAGATGCCCAGCACCCTCCCTGCTCTGCCAGCTCCTGTCTGTACCCTCAGCCTGGGAAGGATGATCACATGGTGGCCCTTCGGTAAGTGTCTATGAAAAGGGTGATTCTGGGAAGTGCAGAAGCAAAAAGGGGATGCTGGCGGGGCAGATGGGAGGGGCCTCCGCGAGCCCTGTCTGCTTCACAGTTTGAGTTCGCATTCTCCACCCTGTGTGGCCACAGGCTGCCTCCCAGACCAGCCTGACTATCCTGGGGAGTATCGTCCTGCAAACAGTGGTCTCTTGGGGTAAGGATGCATTGCCTCCTCAGGCTGGGAGCCCCAGGCAGAGGCCATGCTAACCCCCTTCCCCTGTGCACGGGCTCCACCTGGCCCGGCAGTTATCAGAGCCCAGGCTGGCTGATTTGACCTGAGCAATCACTTGCGTCTGGGTGAGACCGTGATCTCACCAGGCTTTTGGTTTGGTTTGGTTTTGTCTTCTTGTCCAATAACCTAAGGCCTATTTTACAATCCCCTGGCCCCTTTCCTCTGAACAGAGAAGCAAGCAGGGCTTCCTCCGTCCGGGCCTCACACTGACTTGGCGAGCAAGAGCACCGGAGAGACGGCTCTGTTGCAGGGGTCACCGGCCAAGGAGGCGGTCTACCCTGTGGGTCCTCCCCGCTGCAGGGCACACAGAGTGGCGCCCGTGGGGCTGAGCACGAGGCAGTGGCTCCTGACCCTCCTACAGCATCAGCACCGCCTCTGCCGGCCGCTGCCGGGAGTCCAGGACCGGGCGGACAGGAGAAGCCCCACCTTTGGCTCAGCACAAAGCCCACAGCACAGCCCCGGTGCACAGACGCGGTCACATGCACGCCCGTCCACACACACCCAGAGTAAGTCAGACGGGTGAGCAATGGTGACTGGCTTTGAATAAACACAATCAGCGATTTCAGACCTCTGGGGACCAGGTTACCTTTTCTGGGCCTCGAGGCTCGAGCACCAAGCGGAGGCCTGGCGCCCTCTGCCGGTGAGCTTGGGCGTGCACACCTGGTCTGTGGTTAATAAGCTGGGGGAGCCGCCTCCTCTGCGCTGCGTCCCGTGGGATGGCAGAAATTCTCCCGCTCCCTCCTTTCCGTCTAGGGATTAAGAGTGATTTACTTCAAGTCATTCTCCCAAAGGCAGGATCGTCTCCCTGTCGTGTGAAAGGAAAGATGAGGCTCAGAGAGTTTAAGCAAATGTCCCAGGATCACACAGCAAGTTGGGGGCAGTCCTGGAATTGGTCTCCTTCACTGGAGAACCAGAACTGACGTCACTGGGCCCACCCAGACCCCCGCAGGAGTCCGCACCTGGGTGTCCCCTTCACCCTGTTCTCCCGGGTCAAAGGCCAACGCTGGACCATTTCTATATCCTGGGCCTGCTCAGGGAGGGCTCTGGGCTAAAGGAATCGCGATGCTGGGCAAATGCTCCCTCAGACACTTAGTGAGGAAGCGTAATTGGGGGACCACTGCAGGAACTGAGGTCCTGAAGGGGCCTGCAACAGCCCTCCCCTCGGGGAGCTCCCACCCCTGGGGGAGACAGGCCAGATGAGACTACCAAGAAGTCACACCCCTGCCTTCCTACAGGGAGCAGTGCTGGATTTAGGTGGAGGTCAAGTGGCCTGAGGGTGAAGGTTAGAGGGCTCCTGAAGCCAGGCCAGGCTGGGTTCTCTGGCAGGGAGTGGGCGCCCAAGCCCAGGATCACTGCCTTCTTGGTGGGAGTCTCCTATGCCATCCTTCCCCTGTGCTCAGCCCCTCCAGGATCATAGGGGCCACCCATTTGTCTTGCTAGTAGGGGCCCTCTTTATCCTTGAGAACGTACAGGTTGAGACAGTGTTCGTGTCTTGCTTTTTTGGGCTGGGCCACCTTGGTGCCATTCTTCTGGATGCTCCTGGGATTCAGGAAGTGAGGTCTTTGAAATGAACGTTCAGGCTGCAATTAACCCTAAGGATTTACTGCAGCTTACAAAGAAACTTTTTCTTTTCAGAGCTGTTGGCCAGGGGCCAGGGCTGTCCCCACTCCCATCTGGTCCTGGCGGTCTGCCCTTGAGGCTGGGGCAATATGAGGAGTGTGTAGGCAAGTCCAAGGCTATGACTCCCATCATGTCTCCAGGCTCCAGGCGTCTTCTTAGGTTGCCTGCCTGGTAACAACTGTAGTCAGTGTCTCACACAGGCCCCAAAGCTCAGCTAAGTCTCCTCACCTGGGAAAAGGCTTCCTTCATGGGCCCACTCCTCCCTGATTCTCTTGTGTGCCTGAGATCTTTTAACAATAGTTCCCATCACTGGGCAGTGAGTAGATGCCTCATACAGGGAAACCCCTCACTGCTGTACCATGATGATTACAGGACAAGGACTTGGAGCCAGATAGACCGGGATCTGATCCCAGTTCAGCCAATTACTATCTGTCACCTTGGGCAAGCTGCTTAACTTCTCTGAACCTCAGTTTCCAAATCTGTCAGTCAGGATAATAGTTCTTATGGCCTGGGGTTGTGCAGGAATGGAATGGGATAATGCATGGACTCCACGGAGTAAATCGTTTGTGTGATAGTGGCATTATTTCTTCTTTAAATGTCACTGTGACTTACTCTACTACCCTGAGGTCTGGTTCAGAAGTTCTGGTAAGAAGTTACAGGGTGATCCTGTGAGTTTGCATAGAGAAAGCACTCAGACACGGGCTGCAGGAACTGTGGCCACATTTGAGAGCACTTGAGCTACTGCCACACACTTCAGAATATCTGGAGGCAGGAACAGAGAAGGGGAGGTTGTGCATAGTATATTCCAGGCTCTGTGCTAGATCCTTTGCATCGGAGGCTTCAGTTAATACAAATTGTTTGTTGTAAGATAGCATTATCTCCAAGCCTAGAGAGGCCATGAGACTTGCCCGAGGCCAGAATCTAGTGTGGTAGAAGCTGCTAGTCTCCAATAACTTTCTACTATTTTATCAGGGTAAGAAAAGTTGTAGCAGGAAACATGGCTGCCCAGAATGAAGACTGCATTTCCCAGTCTCCTGTGTGGGTAGGCGTGGTCACATGACTGAGTTCTGGCCAAAGAGAAGTAAGTAGACGCGTTATGCAGCAGTGTCTGGGAACCTTTCTTAAGACACAGGTTGTGCATCTGCTGTCTGCTCCTTCTTCTTTGTCCCTCCCTCTGTTTTGCTACTTGGTAGGCAGGTGCTACCTTGTACCATGAGGGCAAGGGCCACTCAATAACAACACAATTGCTGCTGTTGTGAATTTTCTGTTACTCTCATTTCTACCTCATCTTAACTGAGATGCCCTGTGATAGAGTGGGGGATTTGAACCTGAGTCAGTCAGCTGTTTCTCAACACAATGCGAGGTTTCTGGGTCCCCTGTGTGCTCCTGCTGTACCTCATCAGCTCTTAGGTGTGAAGCATCCCTTAGAACTCTGATGAGGTGGCGTTGAAGGAGGGGAGCCACTCTAATGCAGCTTTTCGAACTCATCCATTCCAAAGATGGCTCAGGGCCTTTGCTAGATCCAGAGGCAGCTTGAGGGCGAAAGTCCAGGGCCCTGAGAGGGTGGAAGAGGTGACACTTCTAAGATCCAGGAAACCCCAGCCTCTGCCACAAGACTGGCTGCACAGCTACCCCTGTGGCAGGTGAAGGCAGTGCTCAGGTAGTCCTGGGACTCTTTCTAAACTTCTCTGGCCTGGCCCTCAATGTCCTCTGACAGACTCTAGCTTGCTGGGACACCTCTAAGGAAACTGCCAAGGGAACTGCAGAAGCAGGAGCAGGTGAGAAGTGCCCGGGTGTCTTCTTTCCATGGGGGAATTTGGAGAAGCATTCTGAGCCCAGCAAAGTGTCAGGCAGGCAAGGTAAGGCCTCACCTGATAGGAGGTGTATCCTCGTACCTAGTCTCAGCAAGGAAGGTTGCCAGCTTCATGGCTCTTTTGAGTTAAAAGGGCTGTAAGATCCTTGGTAAACGACCAGAGCCTGAATGTCACAGGGAAGAGGTTGGACTGGGACCCAATACAGCTGCCTATGTATCTGAGAAGACGCTATTTATAAACAGAGAAGGTATTTATTGGCTGGACAATCCTGAGGAAGTCTCCCACTTCTCACTCTCATTCATAAAGTGGGGATCATGATCACTACCTCTCAAGCTTACTGTAACATTGAATGAGGTAATGAATATGAAAACACTCAAAATCTATAAAGTATCTACAAACCTGGAAGATTATAATTCTGCATTTGTACAGTAGAAATAACAGTACCATGGTTGCTATTAGTGCCCAGCCAAATCCCCTTTACTGGTCTGGTGCAACCCTCCATCCCTGCCCACCGGCTGCTGTGAGGTTTGGCTGGTAACAGTTCACAGTTATTCCCTCTGCAGAGACTTCCCCGGGAATGGAAGCTGCCTTACTTGGGGCTTGCAGCCGATGCTTGTCTGACACAGGGGCAGGAAAGGCCAGTCCCCGACCTCAAGACAAGATGAACTCTGGTGTAGCACATGCTTCAGGGATCCCCATGAAATCAGGCCGCAGCTCAGCCACAGCTGACACCACAGCCTGGCTCCCTCCTTCCCCACCCCACTCTCCTTCCTTTTCTTTCTTCTGAGGGTTCTTCCCCAACAGAAGAAGATATGCATGAAATCTGTCCCAGGCTCTGCTTTTAAGGAATCTGGTCCACTTGTCTGCCGTACAAAGTTGCTATGAGGGTTAAATAATATAATACAGATGAAGAGATTAGCCCAGTGCCTGGCATATACAGTGCATATCCAATTAATGTTAAAGATTGCCATTATCCATGAGACTGGAGCATCAGGAACATCTTAGTGTAATAGTGAGGTGTGGAAATCTGGTGAGTGAGTCAGTGGATTGAATTTTACATGCTTAGGGACTGGGGTGGGCAGAGAGAAGGGCAGCTGGGTTTCCTTGGGTATCACTGGTTGTCTCAGCTTTGGGCAGTGAGGGTCCTTTACACAGCTAGGGAAAAGTTCCAGTCATTACATACTTCTACCAGCAGAGGACGCCACTTCCATACAAATAAGTGTTTCCTCTGCTATCTGATGCAGTTTTCATCAAAGCAGTCTAGGCTGGCAGGAAAGATCAGGTACATGACAGAGCAGAAAGTGCCTTCAGATTTGCACAGATAATAGGAGAGGGCAGAACAGGAAGAAACAGTGAGTTAAGCTGTTCAGGAAGCTTCGTGGGAGGTGAGGCCTTGAGCAGGGCACTCTAGCACCAGAAGGAGTATTGAGTGGAGATGGCATTCCCAGGGAAGCCACTACCCTAGGCAAGGTGACCAGGGCCTGAGCCAGGGCCGTGGCAGGGAGGCAGCCACGAGAGGGTATGAAGGACACCAAACACAGGGACAGGACTGATTTCAGCTGAGAGGTCTAGGAGGAGATCATGGGCCCACCAACATGGGGTAGACGTCAGGAAGGAGCACGTTTTTATAGGACAGAGCACACTTCTCCAACTGGTTTGACTGCCCTGTTACAATGTCCTCTGCAAGCCATCATTCTGTAGGATTCCTGTTTTGTGTGGATTCTAGAAACCAGTGAAATATTCAGAGGTGTTAATAGCATCAAGATTTCATTGGTTCTTTCCATTCTTTTTATTTTTATTTTTTGAGATGGGGTCTCAGTCCCTGCCCCAGGCTGGAGTGCAGTGGCACCATCACAGCTCACCACAGCCTCAACACCCCAGGGCTCAGGCGATCCTCCTGCCTCAGCCTCCTGAGTAGCTGAGACCATAGGTACGTACCACCATGCCTGGCTAATTTTACATATATACACATATATGTGTGTATATATAATTATATACGTATATATACACATATATACATATATAATTATATACATATATACATATATACACACACATATATGTGTATATATATACACACATATATATGTATATATACACATATGTATATGTGTGTGTGTGTGTGTGTATATATATATATATATATATATATATATATATTTGAAGAGACAGGGTCTCCTTACGTTGTCCAGACTGATCTTGAACTCCTGGGCTCAAGCGATCCTCCTGTCTCAGTCTCCCAAAGTGCTGGGATTACAGACGTGAGCCACCGCGCCTGGCCAGCTTTTTCCGTTTTGAGTAGAGACGGCAAGAAGCGCCCCACAGCTTGCCCTTGCTTCGGAACTCGGGGTTGTGAATCAGTCAGGATAGAAATTAATGGTGCAGTGGGAATAAAGAGGAATGTTAGATGATCTCGCAGGGGTGGGGGAGAACCCAAAAAGAAAGAACGAACGTGAAGAAGCCTAGCTCTCCGAGACTGGGGTTCAGTCCTTGCTGGAGAAAGTGCGTTGCAGCCCATTGAGGGCAGAAGAGTTCTCTGGGTTGTCCCTGGACAGAACCGGGCCACAGTCAAGAGAGCGAACATTGTGGGGAAGAGAACGGCAGGCCACGGCTCAGGGGCTGGAAGCCCCCTGCTGGGGTGCCCACAAAATTCCTCCGGAAGTTGCTGTTGGGGGATGCGCTGAACTCATGGCAAAGCCACCTAGGACTCACGCAGAACTTGCTGGGAAGCTGCCCCCGGGGAAGTGCGCATGCGGGACTTCGCAGGAAACTGGCTGGGTCAAGTCGGCTCCACCAGGAATCCACCCAAGACGGTGCGGCTGAACTCGCCACTGGGAAACTAAGTGGGACACCCACAGAACTAGCCGTGAAGATGCCTGCGGAAGTGCCCTGAAACTGAGCTGAGAACCCCGGGGGTTCAGAGTCCCGAAAGCAAGTAGGAAGGAAAGCTTAAAGAAACCGCAAGAGAAGTCTCTTCTTCTCTCTGTCCTCTAGCGCCCTCTACTGACACAGTTTAACACTGTGCCCGCTGGCAAGGGAGAAACGTTTGGAGCCAGAGAGTAATAAACTGGTAACTGGTACAGGATGTTAGCCAACTCCACTGAGGATGGGAGAGCTCTTCTATAAGCCCTTTTTGAAAAATAGTACTTGAGGACATAGTCCTGCCAGCTAAGAAACGAATCAAAATAAATAATTCAACAGAAAAAATGTAAAAGAAAAGGCAAAGAACAATCAAATCAATAAAACTAAATGAACGAAATAATTATAATTAATATAATATGAAACTAATCATTATTATTAAAATTAAATATAATAAATATTTCATGATTATAAATTGGGGTTTTTGTATCACAATTTACTTTGACAAAAACTGGGAGGTAGCAAAGAAAGAGTATACTATTAATAAAAAGTGAGAGGTGGCAAAATAGTATGCATGTATCTTATTGATCGATATGGCCTTATTCTTGATGTTAAGACATTTAGGCCGGGCGCGGTGGCTCACGCCTGTAATCCCAGCACTTTGGGAGGCCAAGGCGGGCAGATGGCCTCAGCTCACCAGTTCGAGACCAGCCTACGCCACACGGTGAAACCCCGTCTCTACTAAAATACAAAAAATTACCCGGGCCAGCCGCCCCTTCTGGGAGATGGGGGGGCGCCCCCGCCCGGCAGCCGCCCCATCTGGGAGGTGGGGGGCTCCTCTGCCCGGCCGCCCCGTCTGGGGGGTGGGGGGCCCCTCTGCCGGGCCGCCACGTCTGGGAAGTGAGGAGCCCCTCTGCTCAGCTGCCACCCCGTCTGGGAGGTGTACCCAACAGCTCATTGAGAATGGGCCATGATGACGATGGCGGTTTTGTCGAATAGAAAAGGGGGAAATGTGGGGAAAAAGAGAGATCAGATTGTTACTGTGTCTGTGTAGAAAGAAGTAGACATAGGAGACTCCATTTTGTTCTGTACTAAGAAAAATTCTTCTGCCTTGGGATGCTGTTAATCTATAACCTTACCCCCAACCCGGTGCTCTCTGAAACATGTGGTGTGTCAACTCAGGGTTAAATGGATTAAGGGCGGTGCAAGATGTGCTTTGTTAAACAGATGCTTGAAGGCAGCATGCTGGTTAAGAGTCATCACCACTCCCTAATCTCAAGCACCCAGGGACACAAACACTGCGGAAGGCCGCAGGGTCCTCTGCCTAGGAAAACCAGAGACCTTTGTTCACATGTTTATCTGCTGACCTTCTCTCCACTATTGTCCTATGTCCCTGCCAAATCCCCCTCTCCGAGAAACACCCAAGAATGATCAATAAATACTAAAAAATTAAAAAAAAATTAGCCAGGCGTGGCAGCGTACGCCTGTAATCCCAGCTACTTGGAAGGCTGAGACAGGAGAATCACTTGAACCTGGGATGCGGAGGTTGCAGTGAGCCGAAAGCATGCCACTGCACTCCAGCCTGGGCGACAGAGCGAGACTCCATCTAAAAAAAAAAAAAAGGAAGTTAAGAGATTTTAAAAATAAAAGGTATCAGCCAGGTGCAGTAGTTCACCCCTATAATCCCAGCATTTTGGAAGGCCAAGGTGGGAGGATTGCTTGAGCCCAGGAGTTTGAGACCAGCCTGGGCAACATATTGAGAACCACCCCCCACCCCCATCATCTCTACAAAAAAGATAAGTTGCCGGGCAAGATGGTGCGTGCCAAGCTGGTAGTCCCAGTCCTCGGAGGTTTGAGCCCAGGAAGTCAAGCCTGCAGTGAGCCAAAATTGAGTCACTGCACTCCAGCCTGGGCAACAGGGAAAGAACCTGTCTCAAAAATAAAAAGATAAAAAATAAATAAAAGTTATCCATCCGCTAATAGAATAAAAGCTGAATGGAAAATTCCCAAGAACCTAGAGAGAAAGAGTAAGAAAAAAATGGATTAATATAGCAAAAGACAAGAAAATAATAAAGAGGAACAAAAGATATATAATGTGTAACATAAAATTACAGTAGGTAAATCATGCTAGTAATGATAAGCAATGTGAATGTTTTTATAACACAGGTTTAAAGCAAAATATTTTTGAATGGTTACAAAATAATAATATAGGCAAAGATATACAAAGTAGATGAAATTTACACAAAAAACAGAACGTAAAATTTAAGACAAAAAAGCAATGGCTGGGAAATAGAAGGCATAAAATATTCACCATGTGTTTATAACCATTATAAACCTTAAGACATTAAATAATGCTATCTCAAAAGATAAAATGTGAAATATATCAAAAATTCAGGAGTTGCCTAAACCACAAATCATATAGGAGAAGAGAAATTTTTAAATACTGCTCTCAGCTGTCGAAGATTGAGTTTTTGAAAGAATAAACTAAGATACAGAAATGGCAGCTTCTGGCAATAGCAAATTAGCTAATTTGGACCAACCCTCCTGCTAACGACAGTGAGGTGAGCTGAATGCTTGCTTGAAAGCATAGGAGCCCTGACAAAATAGTACAGAATCCTGGGCTAAGATCCGGAAGAAAGCGGATATCCTGACAGGTGAGCTGCATTTGGGCCACTTTTGACCTAACAATATTTGCCAATCAAGAAAAGACAGCTGAGAGGTTGAACATTATTCATGAGAGCCACATGGGGTTAGGGGATAAAAGTTGGAGTCTCCGGGCACAGTGGCTCACGCCTGTAATCCCAGCACTTTGGGAGGCTGAGGCGGGTGGATCACAAGGTCAGGAGTTCGAGACCAGCCTGACCAACATGGTGAAACCCCATCTCTACTAAAAATACAAAAATTATCCGCATATGGTGGCGCATGCCTATAATCCCAGCTACTCATGAGGCTGAGGCAGGAGAATAGCTTGAACCTGGGAGGCGGAGATTGCAGTGAGCCAAGATCACACCACTGCATTCCAGCCTGGGTGACAGAGCGAGACTCCGTCTAAAAAAAAAAAAAATTGGAGTCTAGAACCCACCAAGGTGGGGGCCCTGATAACACCCCACACCCCGCCCTGACACATACTGTGGGTTGGAATCCAAAACAGCTGCATCCCAAGAGCAGGTCATCTATTCCCTGCATGCTGCAGCCCAGCTTCCAGTCATCTGGGCGGCCCAGAAAAACCTCAATTTTTAAAGCTGGATTAAACTTACTCCAGACTGCCAACTACCAGGACTCCTAGGCTTGTTAGGCTTGGAAGAAGCAAATAAAAATCATCTCTGGAAGAAAATGACATCATCCCAGGCCTCAATTATTCCTACAGTTTTGCAAGCACAATGTCCCGAACATAATAAAAAAACAACTGGGGGCGTTCTGCTCCCACTTAAAAAATCCTGCGAGAACATGGCTCTCATTATAACATCACGTGACAGCTGGAACACCTACAGCAGCATAGATTTTAAAAGCCATCAGAGAGCAGAAGTGAGGCTGCAAACAGAACAAAGCAAAACAAAAATAAGTTAATTAAAATTCCAGAAAGTAATAAGTAATTCAAAGTAATAAGTCATTCCCACAGCCACTTTCAGAGGAGGGAAAGGAGGCCACCCTTGATCAGGGTAAAAAGAAACCAGTGTGGGCTAGCATACTGGGCCAGGGTCCCAACAAGCCCCAGCCGTGAAGAGAGTCTGCACCTGCTCACCAAGCCGCACCACAGACCTTCCCAGGGTGTGAAAGTTGAGGGCAGAGAATCGAGAGACTCTCTCCTCAGGCGGACACACACAGGGCCTGCTGAGGACAGGGTCGTTAACTGAGAGAAACCCTCTGAGAAACTGGGCCCTCTCGGAGGCTGCCTGAGATGGGACAGGACAGGAGGGCTGAGAAAGACCTTCCTGAGGAAAGACACGCAGAGTCTGCTCAAGCTGGGAACAGGAAAGGAGAACTGAGAAAGCCGCTCACAGACACTCTGGTCTTTCAGTGAATATACTGACTTGGCGCTCCACCGCTAGGGACAGGAATCAGGGTGGAGAGAGATCTCCCAAAGCACAGAAGGCCAGGGGTTGGATTACAGAGCAAAGAAATCTTCCCAAAGATCCAAAAGCTAGCAGCCAATCTTTAGAGTCAGGTGGCATATGCCCACAGTTCAAAAAGCTAGCAGCTGGACTGTACAGCATAAAGAAATTTCTGAGACCAGGCATGGTGGCTCGTGCCTGTAATCCCAGCACTTTGGGAGGCCAAGTCTGGTGGATCATGAGGTCAGGAGTTTGAGACCAGCCTGGCCAACACAGTGAAACCCCGTCTCTACTAAAAATACAAAAATCAGCCAGGTGTGGTGGCATGCATCTGTAGTTCCAGCTACTTGGGAGGCTGAGGCAGGAGAATCGCTTGAACCCAGGAGGCAGAGGTTGCGGTAAGCCCAAGTCGCGCCACTGCACTGCAGCCTGGGTGACAGAGCGAGACTCCATCTCAAAAAAAAAAAAAGAAAAATTTTAGACGTGTGAAGAATTTTCCACAGACTAGCCTCTGATGCCGTATGTTTCAAACCTTGTCACTCCTCAATGATTTTAGGTCTAATGTTTAAGTCTTTAATCCATCTTGAATTAATTTTGTATAAGGTGTAAGGAAGGGACCCAGTTTCAGCTTTCTACATATGGCTAGCCAGTTTTCCCAGCACCATTTGTTAAATAGGGAATCCTTTCCCCATTTCTTGTTTTTGTCAGGTTTGTCAAAAATCAGATGATTGTAGATGTGTGGTATTATTTCTGAGGCCTCTGTTCTGTTCCATTGGTCTATCTCTCTGTTTTGGTACCAGTACCATGCTGTTTTGGTTACTGTAGCCTTGTAGTATAGCTCAAAGTCAGGTAGCATGATGCCTCCAGCTTTGTTCTTTTGGCTTAGGATTGTCTTGGCAATGCAGGCTCTTTTTTGGTTCCATATGAACTTTAAAGTAGTTTTTTCCAATTCTGTGAAGAAAGTCATTGGTAGCTTGATGGGGATGTCATTGAATCTATAAATTACCTTGGGCAGTATGGCCGTTTTCACTATATTGATTCTTCCTATCCGTGAGCATGGAATGTTCCTCAATTTGTTTGTGTCCTCTTTTATTTCGTTGAGCAGTGGTTTGTGGTTCTCCTTGAAGAGGTCCTTCACATCCCTTGTAAGTTGAATTCCCAGGTATTTTATTCTCTTTGCAGCGATTGTGAATGGGAGTTCACTCATGATTTGGCTCTCTGTCTGCTGTTGGTGTATAGGAATGCTTGTGATTTTTGCACATTGATTTTGTGTCCTGAGATTTTGCTGAAGTTGCTTATCAGCTTAAGGAGATTTTGGGCTGAGACAATGGAGTTTTCTAAATACACAATCATGTCATCTGCAAACAGGGACAATTTGACTTCTTCTTTTCCTAATTGAATATCCTTTATTTCTTTCTCTTGCCTGATTGCCCTGGCCAGAACTTCCAACACTATGTTGAATAGGAGTGGTGAGGGAGGGCATCCTTGTCTTGTGCCACTGTTCAAAGGGAATGCTTCCAGTTTTTGCCTGCCCAGTGTGATATTGGCTGTGGGTTTGTCATAAATAGCTCTTATTATTTTGAGATACATTCCATCAATACCTAGTTTATTGAGAGTTTTTAGCATGAAGGGCTGTTGAATTTTGTCAAAGGCCTTTTCTGCATCTATTAAGATAATCATGTGGTTTTTGTCCTTGGTTCTGTTTATGTGATGGATTATGTTTATTGATTTGCGTATGTTGAACCAGCCTTGCATCCTAGGGATGAAGCTGACCTGATCGTGATGGAAAAGCTTTTTGATGGGCTGCTGGATTCGGTTTGCCAGTATTTTATTGAGGATTTTTGCACCAATGTTAATCAGGGATATTTGTCTAAAATTCTCTTTTTTTGTTGTGTCTCTGCCAGGCTTTGGTATCAGGATGATGCTGGCCTCATAAAATGAGTTAGGGAGGATTCCCTCTTTTTCTATTGATTGGAATAGTTTCAGAAGGAATGGTACCAGCTCCTCTTTGTACCTCTGGTAGAATTCGGCTGTGAGTCCATCTGGTCCTGGACTTTTTTTGGTTGGTAGGCTACTAATTATTGCCTCAATTTCAGAGCCTCTTATTGGTCTATTCAGAGATTCAACTTCTTCCTGGTTTAGTCTTGGGAGGGTGTATGTGTCCAGGAATTTATCCATTTCTTCTAGATTTTCTAGTTTATTTGCGTAGGGGTGTTTATAATATTCTCTGATGGTAGTTTGTATTTCTGTGGGATCAGTGGTGATATCCCCTTTATCACTTTTTATTGTATCTATTTGATTCTTCTCTCTTTTCTTCTTTATTCGTCTTGCTAACAGTCTATCAATTTTGTTTATCTTTTCAAAAAACAAGCTCCTGGAATCATTGATTTTTTTGAAGGGTTTTTTGTGTCTCTATCTCCTTTAGTTCTGCTCTGATCTTAGTTATTTCTTGCCTTCTGCTAGCTTTCGAATTTGTTTGCTCTTGTTTCTCTAGTTCTTTTAATTGTGATGTTAGGGTGTCAATTTTAGATCTTTCCTGCTTTCTCTTGTGGGCATTTAGTGCTATAAATTTCCCTCTACACACTGCTTTAAATGTGTCCCAGAGATTCTGGTATGTTGTGTCTTTGTTCTCATTGGTTTCAAAGAACATCTTTATTTCTGCCTTCATTTCATTATTTACCCAGTAGTCATTCAGGAGCAGGTTGTTCATTTTCCATGAAGTTGTGCAGTTTTGAGTGAGTTTCTTAATCCTGAATTCTAATTTGATTGCACTGTGGTCTGAGAGACAGTTTGTTGTGATTTATGTTCTTTTACATTTGCTGAGGAGTGCTTTACTTCCAACTATGTGGTCAATTTTGGAAAAAGTGCAATGTGGTGCTTAGAAGAATGTATATTCTGTTGATTTGGGGTGGAGAATTCTGTAGATGTCTATTAGGTCTGCTTGGTGCCGAGCTGAATTCAAGTCCTGGATATCCTTGTTAACTTTCTGTCTCGTTGATCTGTCTAATATTGACAGTGGAGTGTTAAAGTCTCCCATTATTATTGTGTGGGAGTCTAAGCCTCTTTGTAGGTCTCTAAGGACTTGCTTTATGAATCTGGGTGCTCCTGAATTGGGTGCATATATATTTAGAATAGTTAGTTCTTCTTTTTGAATTGATCCCTTTACCATTATGTAATGGCCTTCTTTGTCTCTTTTGATCTTTGTTGGTTTAAAGTCTGTTTTATCAGAGACTAGGATTGTAACCCCTGCTTTTTTTTTTTCTTTCCATTTGCTTGGTAGATCTTCCTCTATCCCTTTATTTTGAGCCTATGTGTGTCTCTGCTCGTGAGATGGGTCTCCTGAATACAGCACACTGACTATCCAATTTGCCAGTCTGTGTCTTTTAATTGGGGCATTTAGCCCATTTACATTTAAGGTTAATATTGTTATGTGTGAATTTGATCCCACCATTATGATGTTAGCTGGTTATTTTGCCCGTTAGTTGATGCAGTTTCTTGCTAGCATCAATAGTCTTTACAATTTGGCATGTTTTTGCAGTGGCTGGTACCGGTTGTTCCTTTCTATGTTTAGTGCTTCCTTCAGGAGCTTTTATAAGGCAGGCCTGGTGGTGACAAAATCTCTCAGCATTTGCTTGTCTGTAAAGGATTTTATTTCTCCTTCACTGATGAAGCTTAGTGTGGCTGGATATGAAACTGCGGGTTGAAAATTATTTTCTTTAAGAATGTTGTATATTGGCCCCCACTCTCTTCTGGCTTGTAGAGTTTCTGTCAAGAGATTCGCTGTTAGTCTGATGGGCTTCCCTTTGTGGGTAACCCAACCTTTCTCTCTGGCTGCCCTTAACACTTTTTCCTTCATTTCAACCTTGGTGAATCTGACAATTATGTGTCTTGGGGTTGCTCTTCTCGAGCAGTATCTTTGTAATGTTCTGTGTATTTCCTGAATTTGAATGTTGGCCTGCCTTGCTAGGTTGGGGAAGTTCTCCTAGATAATACCCTGAAGAGTGTTTTCCAACTTGGTTCCATTCTCCCCATCACTTTCAGGTACACCAATCAAACGTAGATTTGGTCTTTTCACATAGTCCCATATTTCTTGGAGGCTTTGTTCATTTCTTTTTACTCTTTTTTCTCTAAATTTCTCCTCTCACTTTATTTCATTAATTCATCACCAAGTCAATCCTAAGCCAAAAGAACAAAGCTGGAGGCATCACACTACCTGACTTCAAACTATACCACAAGGCTACAGTAACCAAAACAACATGATACTGGTACCAAAACAGAGATATAGATCAATGGAACAGAACAGAGCCCTCAGAAATAACGCTGCATATCTACAACTATCTAATCTTTGACAAACCTGAAAAAAACAAGCAATGGGGAAAGGATTCCCTATTTAATAAATGGTGCTGGGAAAACTGGCTAGCCATATGTAGAAAGCTGAAACTGGATCCCTTCCTTACACCTTATACAAAAATTAATTCAAGATGGATTAAAGACTTAAACGTTAGATCTAAAACCATAAAAACCCTAGAAGAAAACCTAGGCATTACCATTCAGGACATAGGCATGGGCAAGGACTTCATGTCTAAAACACCAAAAGCAATGGCAACAAAAGCCAAAATTGACAAATGGGGTCTAATTAAACTAAAGAGCTTCTACACAGCAAAAGAAACTACTATGAGAGTGAACAGGCAACCTACAAAATGGGAGAAAATTTTCGCAACCTACTCATCTGACAAAGGGCTAATATCCAGAATCTACAATGAACTCAAACAAATTTACAAGAAGAAAACAAACAACCCCATCAAAAAGTGGGTGAAGGACATGAACAGACACTTCTCAAAAGAAGACATTTATGCAGCCAAAAAACATGAAAAAATGCTCACCATCACTGGCCATCAGAGAAATGCAAATCAAAACCACAATGAGATACCATCTCACACCAGTTAGAATGGCAATCATTAAATAGTCAGGAAACAACAGGTGTTGGAGAGGATGTGGAGAAGTAGGAACACTTTTACACTGTTGGTGGGACTGTAAACTAGTTCAACCCTTGTGGAAGTCAGTGTGGCGATTCCTCAGGGATCTAGAACTAGAAATACCATTTGACCCAGCCATCCCGTTACTGGGTATATACCCAAAGAACTATAAATCATGCTGCTATAAAGACATATGCACACGTATGTTTATTGTGGCACTATTCACAATAGCAAAGACTTGGAACCAACCCAAATGTCCAACAATGATAGACTGGATTAAGAAAATGTGGCACATATACACCATGGAATACTATGCAGCCATAAAAAATGAGTTCATGTCCTTTGTAGGGACATGGATGAAATTGGAAATCATCATTCTCAGTAAACTATCACAAGAACAAAAAATCAAACACCACATATTCTCACTCATAGTTGGGAATTGAGCAATGAGAACACATGGACACAGGAAGGGGAACATCACACTCTGGGGACTGTTGTGGGATGGGGGGAGGGGTGAGGCATAGCTTTAGGAGATATACCTAATGCTAAATGACGAGTTAATGGGTGCAGCACACCAGCATGGCACATGTATACAAATGTAACTAACCTGCACATTGTGCACATGTACCCTAAAACTTAAAGTATAATAATAATAATAAAAAATTCAATCTTCCATCACTGATACCCTTTCTTCCACTTGATCAAATCGGCTATTGAAGCTTTTGCATGCGTCATGTAGTTCTCGTGCCATGGTTTTCAGCTCCATCAGGTCATTTAAGGTCTTCTCTACACTGTTTATTCTAGTTAGCCATTCGTCTAATATTTTTTCAAGGTTTTTAGCTTCCTTGCAATGGGTTCGAACATCCTCCTTTAGCTCAGAGAAGTTTGTTATTACCAACCTTCTGAAGCCTACTTCTGTCAGCTCATCAAAGTCATTCTCCATCTAGCTTTGTTCCATTGCTGGTGACAAGCTGTGATCCTTCGGAGGAGAAGAGGTGCTCTGGTTTTTAGAATTTTCAGCTTTTCTGCTCTGGTTTCTCCTCATCTTTGTGGTTTTATCTACCTTTGGTCTTTGATGCTGGTGACCTACAGATGGGGTTTTGGTGTGGATGTCTTTTTTGTTGATGTTGCTATCCCTTTCTGTTTGTTAGTTTTCCTTCTAACAGTCAGGTCCCTCAGCTGCAGGTCTGTTGGAGTTTGCTGGAGGTCCACTCCATACCCTGTTTGCCTGGGTATCACCAGTAGAGGCTGTAGAACAGCAAATATTGCAGAACAGCAAATATTGCTGCCTGATCCTTCCTCTAGAATCTTCATCCCAGAGGGACACCCTCCTGTATGAGGTGTCGGTCAGCCCCTACTGGGAGGTATCTCCCAGTTAGGCTACATGGGGGTCAGGGACCCACTTGAGGAGGCAGTCTGTCCATTCTCAGAGCTCAAACACCATGCTGGAAGAACCACTGCTCTCTTCAGAGCTGTCAGACAGGGACGTTTAGGTATGCAGAAGTTTCTGCTGCCTTTTGTTCAGCTATGCCCTGCCCCCAGGGGTGGGCTCTATAGAGGCAGCAGGCCTTGCAGAGCTGCGGTGGGCTCTGCCCAGTTCGAGCTTCCCTGGCCACTTTGTTTACCTACTCAAGCCTCAGCAATGGTGGATGCCCCTCCCCCTGCTAGGCTGCTGACTCACAGGTCAATCTCAGACTGCTGCTCTAGCAGTGAGCAAGTCTCCGTGGGCGTGGGACCCACTGAGCCATGCACGGGATATAATCTCCTGGTGTGCCATTTGCTAAGACCATTTGAAATGTGCAGTATTTGGGTGGAAGTGTCCCGATTTTCCAGGTACAGTCTGTCACGGCTTCCCTCGGCTAGGTAAGGGAAATCCCCTGACCCCTTGCACTTCCCGGGTGAGGTGATGCCCTGCCCTGCTTTGGCTCACCCTCCATGGGCTGCACCCACTGTCTAACCTGTCCCAATTAGATGAACCAGGTACTTCAGTTGGAAATGCAGAAATCACCCTCTTCTGCACCAATCACACTGGGAGATGCAGACCGGAGCTGTTCCTATTTAGCCATCTTGGAACGGGGACCCACATTTTTGCTTTAATGTCTTCAACAGAACTAGGTCCTTTTGGTGTTTTAGGAGTTTTTTTCTGGTTTTTTTTTTTTTTTTTTTTTTTTTTTTTTTGAAGGATTCTTGTCCTTTTGATCTTGGTGTTGATGACGGTTTTGAGTCCTTTCCATTCTGATTTGACTTCTGTGCATTTTTGGCTGGAGTATCTCATATAGATTTCTTCACTGGCACTTTTTCTTCAGTTTCCTTATCATCAAAATCATCATCATCTTCTTCTTCATCTTCATCTTCATCATCATTTGCATCAGCAGCAAGTTTTACTTTTTCCTCTGGAAACTTGCTACCACCTCCAGGGGCAGACCGCTTTCCAGATATACTTAAGAGTTTCACATCTTCCTCCTCTTCATCTTCTGGCTCTGCATCTTCGTCCTAAGTGCTGTCCACTAATATGCACTGGCCCTGAACCACACTTCAGCCGTAAGACCACTGGTAGTGTGATTTCAAAGCCCCCAGAGGAAACCATTGGCTGTATAGACATTTTGAAAGTTGACAGTGTTACTTTAACTGGAATGCCTTCATAATTCATTGCCTCTGCTTCAACAATGTGCAATTCATCCTTTGTAGCAGCCCCTAAACTGGCCGTTATTAAAGATAACTGGTGCTCATTTTCATCATTATCCACCTTAAAGTGATAATCTTTGTCGACCTTTAGTTAACAACCAAAAAGATAGCTCTGGGGCCTCAGGGGGCTCATGTACACATTCAAGTTTTAAAATGAGTTTACAGCAATTCAGTTAGATCTTCAGGATCCACTTCTAATTCTAGTTATCTTGCTATTTCCACGTATGAAGTCACTTCCTCCAATGAAGTGTTAAGCCCCTCACAGTCATTCATGAAGTTGAAAACAACTTTTTCCAAACTCTTGTTAATGTTGATATTCTAACCTCTCATGAATCACAAATGTTCTTAATGGCATCCAGAATGGTGAATCCTTTCCAGAAGATTTACATTTACTTTGCCCAGATCCATCAGAAGAATCAGTATCTAGGGCAGCTATAACCTAACAAAATGTATTTCTTAAATAATAAGACTTGAAAATTGAAATTATTTCTTGATCCATGGGCTGCAGAATGGATGTTGTGCTAGTGGGCATGAAAACAACATTCATCTCCTTGTACATCTCCATCAGAACTCTTGGGTGACCAGGCTTATTGTCAATGAGCAATAATATTTTGAAATGAATCTTTTTTTCTGAGTAGCATGTCTCTATAGTGAGCTTAAAATATTCAGTAAACTATGCTGTAAACAGATGTCCTGTCATCCAGGCTTTGTTGTTCAATTTATAGAGCACAGGCAGATCAGATTTAGTATAATTCTTAAAAGCTCTAGAATTTCCAAAATGGTAAATAAGCATTGGTTTCAACTTAAAGCCACCAGCTGCATTAGCCCCTAACAAGAGAGTCAGCTGTCCTTTGAAGCTTTGAAGCTAGGCATTGACTTCTCCTCTCTAACTGTGAAAGTCCCAGATGGCATCTGCTTTCAATAGAAGCCTGTTTTATCTACATTGAAAAGCTGTTGTTTAGTGTAGCCACCTTCATCAATGATCTTAGCTAGATCTTCTGGATAACTTGCTGCAGCTTCTACATCAACACTTGCACTTTTATGTTATGGAGATGGCTTCTTCCCTTAAACCTCATGAACCAACTTCTGCTAGCTTCAAACTTTTCTTCTGCAGCTTCCTGACCTCTCTCAGCCTTCCTCCATAGTACAGAAGAGAGTTAGCCTTGTTCTGAATTAGGCTTTGGCTTTGGGAATGTCGTGGCTGGTTTGATCTATCCAGACCACTCAAACTTTCTCCACATCAGCAATAAAGTGGTTTTGCTTTATGTGTTCACTGGAGTAGCACTTTTAATTTTCTTCAAGAAATTTTTCTTTGCATTTAAAACTTGGCTGTTTGGTACAAGAGGACCAGCCTTTAGCCCATCTCAGCCTTTGACGTGTCTTCCTCACTAACCTTAATCATTTCTAGCATTTTATTTAAAGCAAGAGACATATGACTCTTCCTTTCACTAGAACACTTAGAGGCTATTATTGTAAGATTATCAATTGGCCTAATTTCAATGTTTTCATGTCTCAGGGAATAGGGAGGCCCGAGGAAAAGAGAGACGGGGAATAGCCATTTGGTGGAGGAGTGAGAACACACACAAGATGGATCAATTAAGTTTGCTGTCTTTTCATGGCACCCCAAAACAATTACAATAGTAACATCAAAGATCACTGATCACAGATCACAATAACAGATATGCTACTATTAATAATAAAGTTTGAAATGTTTTAAGAATTATCAAAATGTGACACAGAGACACAAAGTAAGCATGTGCTATTGGAAAAATGGTGCCAAAAGATTTGCTTGACACAGGGTTGCCACAAGCCTTCAATTTGTATAAAATGTAATATCTGTGAAGCACAATAAAATAAAGTGCAATAAAATGAGATATGCCTGTGTTGGAAGAAAAAACCTGCCAACTAAGAATGCTAGATCCAACAAAACTGTCCTTCAAAAACAAAGATGAAATTACAACTTTCCCAAATAAATAAAATTTGAGGGAGTTTATCACCACTAGTCCTGACCTACAAGAAATGCTGAAGGGAGTCCCTGAAGTTGAGGTAAAGGGACAAAATGCAATTCAAAAAAAAAAAAAGAAAATATTAAATTCTCTGGTAAATATATAGATAAATATAGAATCTTGTAGTATTGTAATGTGTGTAAATCTCTTCTAAATCTCATAGAATTCAAAAAACAAAAGCATAGAAAGTAATTATAAATCTATGGTAATGGATATGCAATATAAAAAAGGTAATTTGAGTCATCAGTAACATAAAGGTGGGGTGGACTGAGATGTAAAGAAGCAGAGTTTTAGATGCAATTGAAGCTAAGTTGTTATCAGCTTAAAATAGATTGTTATGATATTACCCATATTCTTCCAGTCTTCTGCCAAAAGATCTGAATCTACAATTGTCCCAGTGGTACTGAATTACTTATCTGATGATTAAGAATGAAAGAGCCGTTTTCTTTGCAGTCCAAAGGCAAACTTCTGTAGGGAATTCTAGCTAGGGAAAGTGTTATACCCTCTTCTTATTAGTTTCCCCCAGGGAGGAAAGAGTGTGTCTATGGAGAAATCTAATTACAATTTTCTTTGCCCTTTTTGAAATACAAAGGGACAGATTTTCCCCTAATTTATCTATGGAGACACACCTATGTAAGAGAACAGGCAAACAAGTAAGCAAGCAAGCAGTTTTTCTGAATTAAGGGGCTTTAATCAGGAAACCACCACATGGTACTCATTAAAAGTAGATTGTTAAAACATTAAGAGGTTATGTTTCACGTAATTGCAATGGTTACCACAAAGACAGTAACTATAGAATGTAAGTGCTATGATTTGAATATGGTTTATCCCCCACTGAAATTCATGTTAAGGCTTGTTCCCCATGTAATGGTGTTGAGAACTGGTGGGACCTTTAAGAGGCATTTGGGTCATAAGCCATCTGTCCTTATGAAGGGATTAATGCCATTTCACAGGAGTGAATTATTGCTCTTCAGTGACTGGATTAGTTACCGCAAGAGTGGGTTGTTATAAAGTGAGGTCACCCCTCATGTTTTCTCTCTTGTGTGTGTACCCGCTCAGTGCTCTCACATGCATAACCACCATGTGATGCCATCCTCCATGTTATGACACAGCATGAGACCCTCGTCAGATGCAGCTGTTTGATCTTGAACTTCCCAGCATCAAGAACTGTGAGCTAAACAAACCTCTTTTTAAAAAATAAATTACCTGGTCTCAAGTATTCTGTTACAGCAACAGAAAATGGACAAAGACTGTAAAGGAAAGGAAGTGAGAAGGGAATCAAAATCTGTGGCCACAAAAAAAAATTAATGAAACACAAAAGAAATTATCAAAAGAAAAAAGGGGGGGGGGACAAAGAAAGCTACAAGTGAAACAGAACACAATGAACAAAATGGCAACAGTAAGTCCTTCACTATCAGCAATTTCTTAAAATGTAAATGCCATTATGAGCAATTATATGCCAACAATTGGATTTGGCAATAATTTCTTGGATATGATACCAAAAGCACAGGCAACAAAATAAAAAATAGACAAATAGTACTACATAAAACTTAAGTTTTTTTACACATCAAAGTAACAGTCAACAGAGAGAAAAGGCAACCTATGGAATGGGAGAAAAGAGTTGCAAGTCATATATCTGATAAGGGGTCAATATCCAGAATATATAAGGATCTTGTACAACTTAACAACAAGAAAAACCCCAAATAATCCAATTTAAAAACTGGCAAAGGATTTAAATAGACATTTCTCCAAAGAAGATATATGAATGGTTATTAAGTACATGAAAATATGCTCAACATCATTAATCACTAGGGAAATGTAAATAAAACTCACAATGAGATATCACCTCACACCCATCAGGATAGCCATTATAAAAATAACAGGAAATAACAAGTGTTGACAAGGATGCAGAGAAGTTTGGGTCCTCATGCACTGGTGGTGGGAAAGTAAATTATACAGATGTTATGAAAAACAGTATGGAGTTTCTCAAAACATTAAAAATAGAACTATCATATGATCCAGCAATCCCCCTTTTGGGTATATAGCCAAAAAGCTTCAAAGCAGATCTCAGAGATATTTGCACACCCATGTTCATTGCAGGATTATTCACAATAGCCAACAGGAGGAAATAACAGGTAATTGGATAAGAAAATGTGGTATATGCACATAATGGAATTTTATGTGCCCTTAAAAAAGGGCATGTTACAACATGAATGAAGCTTAAGGACATTATGCTAAGTGAAATAAGCCAGTCACAAATGGACAAATACTGTATAATTCACTCATATAAAGTATCTAAATAAGTCAGAATCCTCAAAACATAAAGTAAAAAGGTAGTCGCCAAGAACTTGCGGGAGGTGGGATGGGGAATTCATGTTTGGTAGGTATAGAGTTTCAGTGTTGCAAGAAGAAAAATTTCTAGAGACTTGTTGCACAAGTGAATATACTTAACAGTACTGAAATGTACATTTAAAAATGTTTAGGATGGTTTAATGTTGTGTGGTTTTTACCACAATACAAAAAAAAAGACTCAGCTAAGAAAACGAACAGGCAAAACCAAAGGCTGGTAGAAAACATTCACAGTACATATATCTGAATATGGATTTCTATCCAGAATAATAAAGAACTTCTAACACAATAAAAATGTGGATGACAGACTTGAGCAACATTTTCAGAAGCAAACAAAGACATATGAATGGACAAAGACATATAAAAAAAGTGCTCGACATCATTACTCAGCAGGCAAAGGCAAATTAAAGCCATAATGAATCACTACATGCCTACTAGAATGTCTAAAATTATAAAGACTGTCAACACCACATGTTGGCAAGCATTTGACATAACAAAAACTCTCACGTTGCTCTTGGATGTGTGAAATGGCACAATTACTTTGAAAAGTTGCTTGCTTGGTAGCTTCTTATTAAACATAAAGCTAGCTGATGACTCTAATTTTACACCTGTGTATTTATTCAAAGTAAATGAAAACATATGTCCACGAAGAGACGTATACATAACTGTTCATAGAAGCTTTGCATTTCTGATAGCCAAAACTGGAAATAACCCAATGTTTATGAAGTGGGATATATTCATAAAATACAATACTTCTTGCAATTAAAAGAAACAGACTACTGATAACAACAAAATGGATGAGTCTCAAAAACTTTATGCTGACTGAAACAAGCCAACATTAAAGAGCTCTCGGTGGCCAAAGCTGGAAAAATTTGAGCAGCAAAATAAATAATGTACTAATAGTATTTGATTATAACTCAAAACATAAATAAATATCTATGAGTCCATATGGATATAAATAAATGATATAGTAAATAAATGGGAGAGAAGGGACAAATGTCCCATACAGAATTATATAATAAAGGTATGTAGTTGCTTCTTCCCCAAGGAAGTGGAGCTTAACTCCTCACCCCTAGAGTGTGGGCTGCACTTACTGACTCGCTTCCAAAGAGTAGAATAGGGAAGCCAGGTGGAGAAGTAGAAACCTGGCAAATAGTATCCCGGCCTGGTAATCAAGATTAAAAAGATCAGTTATGTGGATAATACCTACCTTTTAGTTTTAGTTTTTTGAGACAAGGTCTCACTCTGTCACCAGGCTGGAGTGCAGTGGTAAGATTTCTGTTCACTGCAACCTCTGCCTCCTGGGTTCAAGCGATTCTCCTGCTTCAGCCTCCCAAGTGGCTGGGATTACACGTGCATGCCACCATGCCTGGCTAATTTTTGTATTTTTAGTAGAGACAGGGTTTCACCGTGTTTGCCAGGCTGGTCTCCAACTCTTGACCTCAAGTGATCTGCTTGCCTTGGCCTCCCAAAGTACTGGGATTACAGGCGTGAGCCACCACACCCAGCCTGGGGTGAGATTTTTATTCTATTCTTTAGAAGAATTTGAGAAAGTTTGGCATTTGGTAGAATTTGCCTATGAATCCACTTGGCCAGGCTGGTCTCGAACTCCTGACCTCAAGTGATCCCCCCAACCTTGGCCTTCTAAAGTACTAGGATTGCATGTGTGAGTCATTGCATCCAGCAGATAATACCTACATTTTTAATGAGATGTAATGAGGATGGCACTTCACCTCTGTGGTTTACCTCCCCAAAACATAGAACCCCTATCTAACCATGAAGAAAACACTAGACAAGCCAAAATTGAAGGACATTCTACAAAATACCTGACTAATACTCATTAAAACTTTCAAAGTATTGGAAAAGGTAAAAAGGAAAGTCTGAGAAACTGTCACAGACAAGAGGGGGCTAAAGGAGACACAACAACTAAATGTAATGTGGTATCCTAGATGGGACCCTGAATTGAAAAACGACATTAGGGAGAAAACAGTGAAATACAAGTAAAGCATGGAGTTTATTTAATTTAAAAAAATGGATTGAACTGCAAGGAAATATAGATGCATCTACAATCATAATGGGAGTTGTTTGTTTGTTTGTTTGTTTGTTTGAGATGGAGTTTTGCTCTTTCGCCCAGGCTGAAGTGGGGCGATCTCAGCTCACTGCAACATCTGCACCCTGGGTTTAGGCGATTCTCCTGCCTCAGCCTCCCAAGTAGCTGGGGTTATAGGTGTGCACCACCACGGCTAATTTTTGTAATTTTAGTAGAAAGGGGGTTTCGCCATGTTGGCCAGGCTGGTCTTGAACTCCTGACCTCAGGTGATCCACCTGCCTTGGCATCCCAAAGTGCTAGGATTACAGGCATGAGTGGGGCCCATAATGGGAGATTTTTAACACCCTTCTTTCAATAATAGATGGTTTAAGCAAGTATAAAATTAGTAAGGATATAAAATATTAAATAACACTATTAACAAATGACTTAATTGACACATTCTTTCAAACATCCATGAAACATTGACAAAAATTTACTATACATTCATTGAGCTGTGAAGCAAGTATGAACACAAAGGGTTGAAATTATATGGAAAACGTTCTCTGACCACAATGCAATTAAGCCAGGAATCACAACAAGAAAAGATGATTAGAAGATCCTCATATGTTTGGAAATTAAGAAATACACTTCTAAAAACCTTTTGGATCAGAGAAAAAAATCATCATGGAAATAAGAAAACATTTTGAAGCGAAATATTAGAAAAATATTGGAAATCAAAACCTGTGGGGTGGAGCTAAACAGGGCTTAGAGAGGTATTGCTAACATATATTAGATAAAAGAAAGATACAAACAATCTAAGTTAGCAGTATAAACAGGCGCATCATTATAGATCATAAAGCCACCAAAAAGATAACAGAAGGATATTATATAAATTAATTATATACAAATATATTTGTAAATTTACATGAAATGGACAAATTCCTTAATAAAATACAACTTACACAGGAAGAAATAAAAATGATGACTAGTCCTATAAGTAAAATTAATTAAATAATCTGTAATTTCCTCAACAAAAGTCCAAGTGGATTCGTAGGCAATTTCTACCAAATGCCAAACTTTCTCAAATTCTTCTAAAGAATAGAAGAATAAAAATCTCACCTCAGCCTGGGTGCGGTGGCTCACGTCTGTAATCCCAGCACTTTGGGAGGCCAAGGCAGGTGGATCACTTGAGGTCAAGAGTTGGGGACCAGCCTGGCTAACATGGTGAAACCTCATGTCTCCTAAAAATACAAAAATTAGCCGGGCGTGGTGGCACGTGCCTGTAATCCCAGCTACTCGGGAGGTTAAGGCATGAGAATCACTTGAACCTGGAAGGTGGAGGTTGCAGTGAGCCAAGATCGCACTGCTGCACTCCAACCTGGGTGACAGAGTGATACTCTGTCTAAAAAACAAACAAACAAAAAAATCTCACCCCAACTCATTTTATGGGGCTATTGTTAACTCACTAGCATGATCTGGCAAGGATATTACGAGAAAAGAAATTACAGATTAATCTCACTGAAGAATATAGAAGCAAATGTCCTAAAGAAAATATTAGCAAAAGATCCAGCAATATGTATGCAAAGGATACATCATGACCAAGTTGGTGTATTGCTGTACTATATCCTTGGCTTAACAATAGAAAATCAATCAGTAGAATTCACCATATTAGCAGACTATAGGATTGGTTGCTTACTTACTATTGGGTAAGGAAAAAAAAATACACATACACACACACAGAGAGTATAGGATAAACAAAAGGCATGATAATCTCATTAGATGAGAAAATACATTTGATAAAATTCATTACCTATCATTTGAAAAAAATTTAACAAACTAGGAAAATAAGGCAACATTTTTGATACGAAAGAGTATCCCAAAACACCATTGTCAATGGTGAAATTTTGAAAGTTTTAAGATTTAGGATTGTGAACACAGCAAGGATGGCTTGTATGACTACTTCTGTTCACTGCCGTAATGGAGGTCAAGAGAAAACTATACCAGTAAGAAGATTAGAAAGTGGGGTTTAAAACTGTCGTTATGGAAGACATAATTCTTTTAATTAATAGAATTGACTTCTATTCTATTCTTTTCATTGTTTTCTTTTTGAGACAGAGTCTTGCTCTGTCGCACAGACTGGAGTGCAGTGGCTCGAGCTCAGCTCACTGCAACCTCTGCCTCCTGGGTTCAAGTGATCCTCCCTCCTCAGCGCCCCAGTAGCTGGGACTACAGGCACCCACCACCACGCCTGGCTAATTTTTGTATTTTTAGTAGAGATGGGGTTTCACCATGTTTACCAGGCTGGTCTCGAAATCCTGACCTCAGATGATCCACCTGCCTTGGCCTCCCAAGGTGCTGGGATTACAGACGTGAGCCACAGCGCCCGGCCGACTTTATTTTAGAACAATTTTAGATTTAAAAATTGAGCCAGTAGTCCAAAAGAGTTTCCAAATCCCCTCTCTCCCATGTGAACTCCAGTTTTCTCACATCTCCCATTTGTGTGATACATTTGTTATAATTCACAAACCAATACTGATACATTACTATTAACTAAAATTCATAGTTTACATTAAGGGCTCACCCTTTGTGACGTACAGTTCCATGGGTTTTGCTTAATGTCATGTACCCTTCTTTAGTTTTTACCCCCTAAAAATCCCCTGTGCTGATTCACCTATTCATGTCTCCCCACTTTCCCCTGCCAACAGCTGATTTTTTTTTTTTTTTTTTTTTTTTTTAGGTAGACTCTCACTCTGTTGCCCAGGCTGGAGTGCAGTGGCAAGATCTCAGCTCACTGCAAGCTCCACTTCCGGGGCTCAAGCGATTCTCTAGCATTAGCCTCCCAGCTAGCTGGGGCTACAGGCCCAGCTAATTTTTATATTTTTTGTAGAGATGGGGTTTTGCCATATTGCCCAGGCTGGTCTTGAACTCTTCAGCTCAAAGCGATCTGCCTGTCTTGGCCTCCCAAAGTGCTGGGATTACAGGCATGAGCCACTGCACCCAGGCCACTGATCTTTTTACTGTCTCTATGGTTTTGCCTTTTTCAGATTGTAATAGAGTTGAGTTCATACAGTATTTAGCCTTTTCAAACTGGCTTCTTTCACTTAGTAATATATACTTAAACTTCCTTCCTGTCTTTTTGTAGCTTGATAGCACATTTCTTTTTTATTGCTGAATAATATTCCATTGTATGAATGTACCACAGTTTGTTCATCCATTCACCTATTGAAGACATCTTGATTGCTTCCAGTTTTTGGCAACTGTGAATAAAGCTGCTATAAACATTAGAGTGCAGGTTTCTGTGTATACATGTTTTCAACTCCATTGGGCAAATACCCAGGAGCATGATTACTAGATTGTACGTTAACACTAGCTTTGTGAGAAACTGCCCAACTGTCTTCCAAAGTGACTGTACCATTTTACATTTTCACCAGCAATGAATGAGAATTCTTGTTGCTCCACATCCTTGTCAGCATTTGGTATTGTCCAGTTTGCTTGTTTCTTGAGCCATTCTAATAGGTATGCATTATTGTTTTAATTTGCAGTTCCTTAATGACATGGCAATGGCCCTGACAACCCAGAAGTTGCCACAATTTTTCTAGAAATTTCTGCATAACCTCCCCTTAATTTGCATATAATTATAAGTGGGTATAAATATGAGTGCAGCCCTGCCTCTGAGCTGCTATTCTGGGCACACTGTCTATGGGACAGCCCCGGTCTGCAAGGAGCAGTACCTCTGCTGCTGCTGTACACTGCCGCTTCAATAAAAGTTACTGTTTACCACCACCGGCTCGCCCTTGAATTCTTTCCTAGGCAAAGCCAAGAACCCTCCCTAGATAATCCCCAATTTGGGGGCTTGCCTGTGCTGTATCAATAGGATGTTAAATATATTTTCGTATATTTATTTGTCATCCATATATCTCCTTTAGTGAGGTGTTTCTTTAAATCTTTTGCCCATTTTTAATTGGTGTTTTTTTATTGTGCATTTAAGAGTTTTTTGTATATTTTGAACATAAATCCTTCTTTAGATATGTGTTTTACAAATATTTCCTCCCAATCTGTGGCTTATTCTCTTAACAGTGTCTTTCACAAAGCAGAAGTTTTTCATTTTAGTAAATTCCAACTTACCATTTTTTCTTCCATGTATTGTGCTTTTGATGCTGTATCTAAAAACTCATCTCCAAGGTCACCTAGATTTTCTCCTCTCTTATCTTCTATAAGTTTTATAGTTTCGTGTTTGACATTTAGATTTATGATTCATATTGAGCTAACTTTTATAAAACATGCTAGATCTGTGTTTGGTTTTTTTTTTTTCTTGGCATCTAGATGCCTGTGCAGCAAAAGTTAACTAAGCAGGCTGCACATTGCAAAGAAGACACTGGCTCCTGACCTGCTTCTGACAGTTAACCTCTACACCATTGGGATATCCTGCCTGTCTTTGCATATCTGGGGCCTTGGGCCATGCCAGATAGCTTATGCTAACAATGTAGTTTATGTGAAAGTCTTGTGCAATGCTGTATCAATTTGACCTCTGTAGCGGCTGGAGACTGAGTACCTAAGGTCAGTCACATGGATATTACATGACTATGTGACTGATACCAAGGCTCAGGTGAGCTTCCCTTGTTGATAATACCTCCAACGTATTGTCACATATTATTACTGGGGGAAATAAATATTGCCCGTACAACTCCACTGGGAGAGGACCACTGGAAGCGTAATCTTGGTCTCCTCAGGACTCTGATCTGTATGTTTTTCTCCTTTGCCCATGTTAATCTGTATCCTTTCTCTGTAATAAATTTGTAGTCATGTAATAACCATGACTATAACAATTTTTCTGAGTTTTTTGAGATCTCCTAGTGAATCATTCAACCTGAGGGTAGTTATGGGGATGCCCAGCACAATGTCCAATTGTTTTGGCACCATTTGTTGGAAAGCCTATCCTTTCTCCATTGAATTGCCTTTGCTCCTTTGTCAAAGATCAGTTGACTATATTTGCGTGGGTTTATTTCTGGGCTCTCTATTCTGATACATTAATATATTCAACTATTCTTTTATTAATACCACCCTGTCTTGATTACTATATCTTCCAAATAAGTGTCATGTATTGTCAGTCTTCTGATTTTCTTCTTCTTCAATATTGGCCTCTTGTGTTTCCATATAAACTTTGAAATCAGTTTATCAATATCCATGATATTGATTGCTGGGATTTTGGTTGGGATTGTGTTGAATTGATAGGTCAAACTGATAAGAATTGGCATCTTAACAATATTGATTATACCTACCTATTAACATAGAATGTCTCTGCATTTGCTTAAACCTGTTTTATTTTTATCAGAATTTTGTAATTTTCCTCACATAGACATAGTACGTATTTTAGTAGATTTATATTTAAGTATTTCTCTTCCCTCCTTCCTCCCCTTCTTCTTCTCCTTCTACCTCTTCTTCTCCCTATCCTTTTTCTTTCTTCTTCTTCCTCCTTTCCTTCTTCTTCTTCTCTCTCTCTCTCTCTGATACTAATGTAAAATGGTATTGTGTTTTTAATTTCAAATTCCAGTTGTTCATTTCTGGTATACGGAAAAACAATTGAGTTTTGTATATTAATCTTGTATCCCTCAACTTTGCTATAATTGTTTATTAGTTCCAGAGCTTGTTGTTGTTGTTGTTTTTGATTCTGTGGAATGTTTTCACAGAAAAATCATGTCATCTTTGAACAAAAACAGTTTTAGTTATTTCTCTCCAATCTTTATACCTTTTCTTTTCTTATTGCATTAGCTAGGGCTTCCAGTACAATGCTGAATAGCAATGGTGAGAGAGGACATGCTTGGCTTGTTCCCAATTTGTTCCCCTTTGTTAGGGAGAAAACATCTAGTTTCTCATAAATAAATATGTTAACTGTAGATTTTTTGCAGATTTTTAAGTGAATTTGAATAAATGCCTCTTCATTTGTACTTTGCTGATAGTTTTTGTCATGAATGGGTATTGGAATTTGTCAAATGCTTTTCCTGCATCTGTCTATATGATCATATGGTTTTTATTCTTTATTTTGCCTATTGATGTGATTGATTACGTTAATTGATTTTCAAATGTTGAGCCAGCCTTGCATACCTAGAATAAATCCCACTTGGTTGTGGTTTATAATATTTTGCTAATTTTTTGGGAGATTTTTATGTCTATGTTCATGAGAAATATTGGCCTATAATTTTACTTCTTCTAATGTCTTTATCTGGTTTTGCTATTACGGTGATGCAAATCTCACAGAATAAGTTAGGAAGTATTTACCCTGCTTCTATTTTCTGGAAGAGATTATAGAGAATTAGCATAATTTTATCTTTAAATATTTGTTAGAATTCATCAGTGAACCCATCCAGCCCCAGAGCTTTCTTTTTTGGGACGTTATTATTAATAATTACTGACTCAATTACTTTAATACACATAGGCCTATTCAGATTATCTATTTTCCCTTGTGTGAGTTTTAGTTTGTATCATTCAAGGAATTGACTCAATCTAAATTATCAAATTTATGGGCATAGAGTTGTTCATAATATTCCTTCATCATTCTTTTAATTTCCATGGAATCTGTGGTGATTATCTGTTTTTCATTTCTGATATCGGTAATTTAGGTTTTCTTGATTAGCCTGGCTAGAGGTTTATCAATTTTATTGATCTTTTCTGAGAACTAGCTTGGGGTTTCATTGATTTCCTCTCTTCAGTTGTATTGGTTTCTGCCCTAATTTTTATTTATTTTTTCTGCTTGCTTTAGGATTACATTGCTCTTCTTTCCCTAGTTTCCTGAGCTGTAAGTGCCAGAGGCTCCTGTTTCCTCCAGTTTTCTGGTTTGGTTAATTTTTTTTATCCTCCCCTGTTATCTTTGGGTTTCCCTTATAATTCCTTCTTAAAATAGGGTCTATGTCTTACTAAAGAGCTTCTGCACAGCGAAAGAAATTATCATCAGAGTGAACAACCTACAGAATGGGAGAAAATTTTTGCATTCTATCTATCTGACAAAAGTCTAATAGCCAGAGTCTACAAGGAACTTACACAAATTTACAAGAGAAAAAACCCAACCCCATTAAAAAGTGGGCAAAGGATATGAGCAGACACGTCTCAAAAGAAGACATACATGGAGCCAACCAAACATATGAAAAAAAGTTCAACATCACTGATCATTAGAGAAATGCAAATCAAAACCACAATGAGATACTATCTCACACCAGTCAGGATGGCTATTATTAAAAAGTCAAAAAACTGATGCTGGCGAGGTTGCAGAGAAAAAGGAGGGCTTTTACACTGTTGGTGGGAGTGTAAATGAGTTCAATCATTGTGGAAGGCAGTGTGGCGATTCCTCAAAGACCTAGAAGCAGAAGTACTATTTGACTCAGCAATCTCATTACTGGGTATATGCCCAAAATAATATAAATCATTCTATTATAAAGATACATGCACACGCATGTTCATTGCAGCACTACTCGAAATAGCAAAGACATGGAATCAACTTAAATGTCTGTCAGTTATAGACTGGATAAAGAAAATGTGGTACCTATACACCATGGAATACTATGCAGCCATAAAAAGGAATGAGATCACGTCCTTTGCAGAGACGTGGGTGGAGTTGGAAGCCATTATTCTCAGCAAACTAACACAGGAACAGAAAACCAAACACCACAGGTTCTCACCTATAAGTGGGAGCTGAATGATGAGAACGCATGGACACATGGGGTGGGGGACAACACACACTAGGGTCTGCCAGTGGTGGGGGGCTGGGAGAAGGAGGAGCATCAGGAAGAATAGCTGATGGATATTGGGCTTAATACCTAGGTGATGGGATTATCTGTGCAGCAAACCACCATGGCACACGTTTACAGTATGTAACAAACCTGCACATCCTACACATGTACCCCTGAGCTTAAAATAAAAGTTGAAGAAAAAAAAAAGAGACTGTAAAAAGAAACGCAGCCTAAAGTGATATCTGAGGAGAAACAGCCAGGGTGAGAATATGAAGTCATGAAAGACAAGGGAAGACCTTCTGCTGAGACAAGAGTGGCTAACAGTGCAGATGATACAGGGAGGTAACGGAAGATAAGGCTGAGAAATGACACTTCCAACTTAATTTTCTATAAACTGGTTCTACATTGTTTAGTATTTCTTTAAAAAATAAGATCTGTGTTTTGCAGCTTTCTGAATTTGTATACAGTTATTATGCTGGAGCCTTGTTGATGTAGTGGTAAGTTGTTGGAGAGGGCAAGAGTTCTATAATTTTTTTTTTTTTTGAGACGGAGTCTCGCTCTGTTGCCCAGGCTGGAGGGCAACAGCACCATCTCTGCTCACTGCAACCTCTGCCTCCCAGGTTCAAGTGATTCTCCTGCCTCAGCCTCCTGAGTAGCTGGGATTACAGGCGTGCACCACCATGCCCAGTTAATTTTTGTATTTTTAGTAGAGACAGGGTTTTCAACATGTTGGCCAGGCTGGTCTTGAACTCCTCACCTCGTGATCCACCCACCTCGGCCTCCCAAAGTGCTGGGATTACAGGCGTGAGCCACCACGCCCAGTCGAGAGTTCTATAATCTTATGATTAAATCTCAGTATTTTACTGGACCTGAGTCCCTGGGCCATGACTTTCAAAATAATTGCTTTTTTTTTTTTTTTTTAGATTGCCTGCATTTCTTTCTTTCTTTTTTTTTTTAATTATACTTTAAGTTTTAGGGTACATGTGCACAATGTGCAGGTTAGTTACATATGTATACATGTGCCATGCTGGTGTGCTGCACCCATTAACTCGTCATTTAGCATTACAAAATAATTTCTTAACCTTTGTGTTTTCTATCCTTACATGATACAGGATGGCTACAGGGCTAGTGGATTTTTCCCCAGGTAAGATAAGGCTCCGGTAAAGTAATTTCCCTTGGAGGGCAAGCCTTTGTTATACAAGATGCTCTGGGAATATTTTAAGATATTACTTTCCCCCTCCCTCTTGCAGGTAACATGAGGATATTTTTTTCCAGTCTTCAACATGAGAACTTGGTGGACTTCTAGAGGTAAAATCCACAAAACTGTGTGTCTCTCTTTCAGACTGGGCACCCAGGAGTTTTTAACTCTCAAGCAATTCATCACTGTCACCATTTAAGTATTTCTGCCAGTTTATTAAAAGTTATAGAATCCTTTAGTAAATATATGATCTTTTTCCTTTAAAAGATGAATGAAACAGACAAAGCTTTGACAATGCTAATTTTTAAAAGAAGAACCCTCAAATACCTAGATGTTAGAGTAAACAAGTACACAAGTACACAAGGACACAATGTGTAGCGTGTCCCGTCAGGCCCAGCCCCGCCCAGCCCAGTTCAGACCCTGTGATAGTACATCCCATGATGATCTTGGGGAACCCATGGGAGAGGAAACAGATTACTTAGAGTCATTTAGTCAGCAGGCAGGGAGTGGGTGGAAGCCCAGAAATAGAACCCTGGGCACAGTCCTTGAGTGGGGGTTGAGAAAACCTAGGGCCAAGATGCCCCCACAAGGGTCTTTTCTTAGACCTGTCCTCCCTGCCTGGGTCCCCAGAGGCCAGGTAGAACCCACCTCACAGGGACCAGCAGGCCCTGGCCCAAGGCCCCAAGCTAAAGCCCCCTGCCTTGGCATGTTTAAAACCTTGAGTGATGAGGAGTCTCAGCTTCAAAAAATGTGGGGGAAGATAAGAAAAACTGCAGGGCCCATGGTGGAGACCAAAAATTCTTCCTCCTGGTGAAAACAGGCTGAGGTGTAAATAACTCAGAGGGTTGCACCGCTCAGGGGATTTGCCTTTTGAGAAATCACTCCAGCCAAAAGCAATGCTTAACGCTGCAGGCTATAAACCCCACTGGGACAGGGACTGTGAATTCATCTCAGGGTCCCCAGTGCCTGGCAAGCACCTGTTACCTAGAAAGTGTGCAATGAATCAGCATATTAAAATTTTTTATTTACTTGTGGTAAACACTTAACATGAGATTTACCCTGTTAAATTTTGAAGTATACAATGCAATATAGCTGACTGTAGGGACAGTGTGGTCCAGCAGATCTCTAGAGCTTATTCATCTTGCTTGACTGAAATTTTATGCCCATTGATTATCATAAAGTAATTTTTAAGAATGAAAGTAATGCATTGTTAATGGGCAGAATATAGTCGTTTGAGGTTAGAAAGTCAGAATCGCTGGGAGCTGCCCACTCTGATTTCTCTGAGTTCCTTCTTTTTTTATTTTGGTCTTTCCTGTGGGGACTCTTTCCTCGAATGTCTAGTCACCAGGCTTTTGGTTCCATATGAGTCAACAGAAGCCCACTGGAAGCTCTAGAGGCTTGGTGGGCTTCTTATCCAAGGTCCCCACCTTCGGGTGATGGAGAAGAACCTGGCTGTTCTGCTGGGGGCCCTCAAATGTCATTTGAGTTTGGTAGTCTGAGTTTTGGTAACTTTTCTCTTAGGCTGGCCAGCTTTTCCTTGAGAGGAATTTTTCAGTCCTCTTACTGGGGCTCTGGGAGCCTAGCGGGGGGAAAGCCTGGAAGTTCTGAGCATCCCATGTACAGACTTTCATTTAATTCCTCAGTCCTTCTTCTCAGTCTTCAGTCTAACACCCTCCCCACCCACTACAGCCCCCACACCATCCTCTGCTGGGCCAGGTATTACTGAGTCTTCAGTCCCTCTGGACCATCCCCATATTTAATGGGGATGAAGAAGATCCAGGGGTCCAACAGGTCACCCACACTTACTGTTGTCAGCTTTAGCCCACTTGGCAACTTTCTGCTGACTCCTGCACATTTTCAGGGTCCTTTGGCCTGAGTTCTCTTTTTTCCTGTGGGCTTCCCCACCTGCAGCCTGATCACCAGACATTTGAGGAAAGAGGCCCCACATGAAAGACCAAGGTTTCAGCTTTTTCAGGTCTGTGAAGCCTGTTTCACCTGTTCATTCTGTTGTCACAAACAGTTTCACCTGTTCATTCTGTTTTCACCTTCCAAACATTTGTTGGCATCTCTTATCTATTTTAATTTCCTCTTCTGTTTGCTTTGTCCTAGTAGATTTATACCATTTTATTCCTTTAACTGTGATTTCAAGGGATTTCAGGAGAGAGTGGAGATAAATACCTATGCTCAATCTGCCACACGAAATGGGTACACCTTGCTTTTTTCCTTTAACAATATATTGAGGACATTTTTGTTTCATTTTAATGACGTATGGAATTTCAGGCTCCAGTTGGTGACACTTAAGGCAGTTTTAGGTTTATGCTATTTTAAGAAATGCTGCAATGGGACATTATTATTGTACAACAATAATTATGTGTAGAAATAAAGAAAGGAGAGAAAAAAGAGAGGGACAGAGAGAAAGGGGGTGAGACAGAGAGAAGGAGGTGGGGAGGAGGGAAGGAGTCCATGCAGAATGTCAGGTATCTGAAGACAGCAGGTCAGGGAGAGGTGTAGGGGTCTGAATGGGTTGTACTTCCAGTCCTGGCCCATATCATGACCTAGGCCTGACTCTCCCCTTCTAGTTCTACTGCCCACTACATGCCAACTGCTTCAGGCTCAAACCTGTTAATGGTGAAAGAAACAACTACCACTGGGATATGGTCCACTGGAAACAGGAAACAGGCTGATGTTTAGACATGCAAGGCCAGAATCCACGTGGCCAGAGAGGATTCAAGGTGCTTTCTGTCCCCAGAGAGTGCCCTGACTCCAGGATATGAGTTTCACCATGACTGAAGCCCACACCAGCCTGCAGCCACTAGCTCCACCTCTGCCTGGGAGCCAGGCCTGTCCAAAGATAACCAAATGGAAAGGGAAGAACCTGGAAACCTCCACTTTAGCTCTGGAAGGCTTGCAAATTCCCTGGCTTCTCTTTCTTCCACTGCAATATGGGGAGCATAGCTTCTGCTAATACATTAAGAGGTCTTAAGGGGTGGTATGCACTTCTCACATCAACCAGCTTCTTACTAAGCACTTGACGTTGAGTTACAAGGGATGTTGAAGGAATAGTATTCAATAATCAACTCATTCAACAGATGTCTATTGAGGTCAGTTCTTTATACAGGCACCTGGTTTTTGGTGCACAGCAATGAACAAAGAGACACGGTCACTGCTCTTGGGGCTTCCAGTCTAGAGAGAGTTACAGACATTAAATACGTAAGCTCACAAAATAAATATGTAATTGCAAATTAGGATAAGGTCTGGGGAGGAAAAATAAACACCTTTTCAGGAGAGAGTAGCAGAACTGCCCTGCCATGGAGAAATACGCAGATATAGGGAAGCCTCTTCAGGAGGTGACAGCAGAGACCAGCCCTGGAGGATGAGAATGAGAAGGAGAACACATCCCAGGCAAAGGGTGCTGTGCCAAGACCCTGAGATTGGAAAAGGCTTGACACACTCACGTTCATGAAATAGAACTGGGGTGCTCAGGGTGGCGTGACCAGCACAAGGCTGAGAGGTAGGCGGGTGGCCTAATGGAAAAACACACAAACTGACTGTATTCTACTATTCTCACACTCACTCTCCATACTTCATTTCTGAGACCAGAGGTGTGGGGATTTCTCTCCACACCCAAACAACTCTCCAGCAGACACCAACAGGGTATCCTATAATTTAATTCCATTCTGACACTATCCATCTGGAGTGAGTCAGATCTACAGGCTGAGGGCTCAGTCCCACAAGGCTGCCCCCACTTCAGAGGCCAATCACAAGTCCCAGGTGGTGAGCTGTGCTTCAATCAAGCAGCTAAAAACTGGGGTTCCCATGACGCCCTTCCTCTGCTCTTCCTCTGCTAGAGCAGCTCACAGAACTCACAAAAACACTTACTTACATTGACCCATTGATTTAAAGGATATTACAAAGGATACAGAGGAGCAGCCAGATGGAAGAGATGCATAGTGCGAGGAAGATGGGAAGGGGCTTGGAGCTGCTCTCCTCTCTCCATGTGTTCAGTAGCCTTGAAGCTCTTTAAACCCCATGGATCATGGATTTTGTTTGTTTGTTTGTTTGTTTGTTTGTCTGTAGAAAGGGGGTCTCACTAGGTTGAGACCTAGTTGTTCAGGAGGTCAAGGTTGTTCAGGCTGGTCTCAAACTCCTGAACTCAAGAAATCCTCCTGCCTCTGCACCCCAAAGTGCTGGGATTTCAGGCATAAGCCACTGCACCCAGCCTAGTTAATGGACTTTTATGCAGGCTTCCCCACATAAGCATGATTACGTGGTCTTCAGCCCCACTCCCCTTCCCAGAGGATGGGGGGTGGAGCTGAAGGTTCCAAACTTCTCATCATGGCTTGGTCTTTCTGGTGACCAACCCCCCTCCAGATGCCCACAAAGAGGCACCTCTTTGGAACAAAAGATGCTCCTAGTACCCAGGAAGTTCCAAGGGCTTAGGAGTTCTGTGTCAAAACTAGGGTCAAAGGCTAAACATTAGAACAAGAGATGCACCTAGAACCCCTATTTCTCAAGAAATTTTAAGGGTTTTAGGAGCTCCGTGCCAGAAATTGGGGACAAAGACCAAATATACATTTCTTATATCACAATATCATAGTGGGCCAGATCATGCAGAGAGGTCACATTAATTAATTAATTAATTCAATAGATATGGATTAAGCACCTACTATGTGCTGGGAAATATTCTGGGTACTAGACAAAGAGGACTAAACAAGAAAAGTCCCTCCTCTCATGAAGCTTACATTCTAGTGGTAGGAAACAGACACTACACACAAATGAATGAATGAATGAATGAATTCAGCCATGAAAGTACTTAGGAGAAAATAAATCATCAGGAGAGAACAGAGAGTGACTTGAGGGGAGGGCACTACTTTCTATGAGTGGTCAGGAAAAGCATGAATGAGGAGAAGGAGCCAGCTGTGTGAAGATCACAGAGAAGAACATTGTGGGCAGAGGCAATGGCAGGTGCAAAGGTATCAGGAGAACCCGCCCCTGAATATTCAACGTGGGCCCTTTTCTATTTTTCCTAAGTGTCAGTCGGTCTGAGAAATAAAGGGAAAGAGTACAAAAGAGAGAAATTTTAAAGCTGGGTGTCCGGGGGAGACATCACATGTCAGCAGGTTCCATGATGCCCCCCAAGCTGCAAAACCAGCAAGTTTTTATTAGTGATTTTCGAAAGGGGAGGGAGTGTATGAATAGGGTGTGGGTCACAAAGATCACATGCTTCACAAGGTAATAAAATATTACAAGGCAAATGGAGGCAGGGCGAGATCACAGGACCGGGGCGAAATTAAAATTGCTAATGAAGTTTCGGGCATGCATTGTCATTGATGACATCTTATCAGGAGACAGGGTTTGAGAGCAGACAAGCGGTCTGACCAAAATTTATTAAGCAGGAATTTCCTCATCCTAATAAGCCTGGGAGTGCTACGGGAGACTGGTGCTTATTTCATCCCTTATCTACAACAGTAAAAGACAGATGTCCCCAGAGCGGCCATTTTAGAGACCTCCCCCTAGGAATGCATTCTCTTTCTCAGGGATGTTCCTTGCTGAGAAAAAGAATTCAGCGATATTTCTCCTATTTGCTTTTGAAAGAAGAGAAATATAGCTCTGTCCCACCTGGCTGTCAGGCAGCCAGACCTAATGGTTATCTCCCTTGTTCCCTGAACATCGCTGTTATCCTGTTCTTTTTTCAAGGTGCCCAGATTTCATATTGTTTAAACAATTTATGCAGTTAACGCAATCCTCACGGAGTCCTGAGGCAACATACATCCTCAGTTTACAAAGATGGCGGGATTAAGAGATTAAAGTAAAGACAGGCATAGGAAATCACAAGAATATTGATTGGGGAAGTGATAAATGTCCATGAAATCTTCACAATTTATGTTCAGAGATTGCAGTAAAGACAGGCGTAAGAAATTATAAAAGTATTAATTTGAGGAACTAATAAATGTCCATGAAATTTTCACAATTTATGTTCTTCTGCCATGGCTTCAGCCGGTCCCTCCGTTCAGGGTCCCTGACTTCCCGCAACATCTCTCCCTTTCTTTTTATATAAATGTGCCATGGCGATGAAGGCTTGTTCATTCTCTCGATTTTGATGCAGGATTCTTTGACTTGTCTGACACACTAAAGACAAGCTGGTTAAACAGAGAAACATAATTCCAAAATTTACTAGAGTGGGGCCTCCAATAGACTTAATCAAAGTCGTGGGGTTTAGTCCATAAAGATTTTCTGCCACCTGATCTAACGCCTCAGCTCCAGGCACAATGGATAAGTGAGCCTGAGAGGCTTCAAAAATTTGTTTTTTTAATTTAGTTATGTCCAGTGATAAATTATCTTCCCTGCCAAGAAGGTGTCCTTTGAAAGAACATTGTCCTAATGAAAGAATAGAGTTAGAGTGTTCTAGAGGTAGAGTTAAGGAGTTGATATTTTATTTTAAGTGGGAACCATTGCAAGGTCTTAGCAGGAAAGCAACAGGATCTGATTTAAGTTTCTCAAAGTGTACTCTGGCTGCTGTGTGGAGAATGGATTGCAGAGGCAAGAGAATTAGGAAGGAAGGCAGGTAGGAGGCTCTTCTGGGGACAGGGTGGGAGTTGACGGTGGTTAGGAGGTGGAGGAGATGGAGCAGGAGGCAGGATGTCTAATAGGTCCTGATCATTGAGGGTGAGGAAAGGGAAGGATCAAGGACACTTCCTGGGTGACTTGGAGACCCGGATAGGTGGTGATGTCTTTTACTGCTAAGGGGAAGAACACGGTGGGACGTGGGAAGGAACAGTTAACAAACATTAATTGAAGACCCCCTGTATGCTTGGTGCTGAGGGACACATAGAGAGGTGTGGAGAGAGGCCCCACTCTGCCTGGCTATGGACAGTCCAGCTACAGAGATGAGATGCTCACATGAAGCAAGAGAAAAAGGTGTGATACCAACCATCAAGATGCAGTCCCATGAGATCTGGCTGGCGTCCTCCCACCTACAAAGCCCTCTCACACATTATCTATTCGATCCACATCATTACCAAATAAGATAGGTAGTATTATCCCCATTTTACAGATGAGAAAACCAAGGCTTGGAGAGGCTGTGACTAGCCCCAGCTCAGCCAGCCAGGTTGGATGCAAATCAGCAGAAGCTTTAGAATTTCTATACAGGCATCTGCTCTGCAGTAGGGTGGGACGGGGACTTGCTTTGAAGCCTCATTTTATATCAAGCACACTGGTTTTACTTGGTTTGGGCTTTGGCAGTGGCTGAGAAAGGGGTGGGAGAAGCCAATGGGGCTGGAAAGGAGAGTATAAAATCTATGAAAGTAATTTATTGGTGATATCCATTGAGATACACCCAGTTCTGTCTGTCTCCAAGCCAGGGTTCTTTCCTATTCTGGATGGAAGGAGTTGTTCCAAGATAGCAGAAGGTAGTATGGAGTACATTGACTGTGGAAGAGGCAAGGCTTAACTCAGAGTGATCTCTGTAGGACTTGAGGGCCAGGGAGGGCAGCCCCAGGAGGGACACAATTTAGGAGCAAAGGTGTGGTGGGCTGTTAATTGAAGTTTGCTGAAGGCATCAGAGACCTCTCAGTTCTACACATGGGCAATCTGTACTGGTGGCTGGGACCTGCCTACTTAGGTGGGAACTCTGGGTCAGTCCCTGGGGAAGGCTCCTCCCCAGCTTTGGTGGACATGGGCCTGCCTTCTGCTCCCAGGTCTCAGCCTCCAGGCAGGGACTTATTCCTTGAAATCTTGCAATTCAGGTCTGGCCATCAGGTGAGCCCAGGATGTGCCCTACTAGACTGAGGCATACTGTAAAATAAATCCAGGCTGGCAAGGCATTGTATCTCTCTCCTCTCCCTCCAGCCATGTCCAGTGCCCTTTTACACAGAGCCCCTCAGCAGAGATCACCCCCACCTGCCTACCTCAACCAGTGGTTCTCAACCGACAGGACACAGAGTTTTTAATGATGTCCCACTGTCCCTGCATGTATCGTGGGCAGTTTCCTCACTGAGAGGCTCCATCAGTGAACATCTGGTGTGTTTGTTATAACTTCCTTCCCTTTCTCTCTTTGTCCAGCAACCTACTTATTCTCAAAGCTCTGTTCAAGCATCACTCCACTGGCTTTCCCACCCCACCCTGGCTGGTGTTTCTCCTTGAGCTCCTTTGCTCCCTGTGCCCACCTTCATTTACCACGTGTCATTTCTGCTGTATATGGTGTGAGGGGCCTAACTTTGATTCTTTCCAGATTGGTAGACAATTAAGTCATTGGCATTTATAAAACATCTTTTTCTTATTCATTTGAACTGCTACCTTCATTGCACACACCCTCTCCATATATGCTCAGACCTACCTCTGTTTGTCTGTCCTGGTGGCAATTCCATGCTATTTTAATCCCAATGGAATTATAATAAGTTTTGTATAGTGTGTCACCATCATTACTGGTTTTGTATTTTAGTTGACAAAAATTGACATTTGTTATGATATTGTTTTCCCGTGCAAGAACATGTTCAGATCCTATTGCAAATTTATATCCTGTGGGTAAGTTTTATAGATTCTACTATTAAACTTATTATTGTTATTAAATTTATTTATAAATATTTTATAGATTTTGACACTTCTGTGAATCAGACATTTCCTTCACTTCTATTTCTAATTGGTTATTGCTAATGTAGAGAAAAGCTATTCATTTTTGTACATTCACCTTAAATCCAGCCATATTACCAAACTCTGTTATTATTTTTGATCTGTTTTTCTAGAAAACCTAAAGACAATAGGGGATGGGGCAGTGTTTGGAGAAACTCAGATTCTGGGCACTGCAGTGCATGTCCTCCTGGGGACATGAGGCATAGCGAGAAATTCATGAAACTGACAGGTCAGTTGTGTATATGGAGGCGGGGGCGAGATAAGGTGGCCCCTAACTCTCCAGAGAAGCCTCTCCTCCCCGAGGCTCAGGACCTCCCAGTCCTCACTCCTGCATCCCACTCTCACTCCCCCACCACCAAGGAGCTGAGGCACCTCTGCACATCTCAGGTGACCCTGAACAGGCTCTTTTGCAGGATCCCCAAGAGAAAGGGCTGACCACAGCAGAAACAGAAGCCATGACTGCAGCAGGGAAAGGGAGGACTTAGGGCTGGTCCATCTGAGTGCTGAGGTCCAACACTCTCAGGGGCCTCGAAGAGGTTACTAGAGCCCTCTGACACCCCTAGACCAGCAGAAGTGGCAGCACTTGGCAGAACCAGGAATAATAGCAGCCACCATGGAGTGCGTTCCCAACAGTCCTCTGAGGATTCCCCTTTACAGATGAAGAAACTGGAGTTCAGGGAAATTAAGGAACTCACTTCAGTTTACACAGATAGTAAATGGCAGAGGAGGAATTCAAACTCAGGAACCTAACTCCACAGCCTGCCGCACCCAATATTCCCACGTGGCCATCTAGGCCATTCATGTTAAGCCCACCGGCCAAAGACTGGATCCCCTAGAAACTGCAGAGCTTTCTCAGGGACCCTGGAGTTCATGCATACACCAGACATTGTCTGCAGACATTACAGTAATATGTGCCCACTTGGGTCCTGTGGTGAATTGAATGGTGACCCCCTCCCACCCCCCGCAAAGGATAACTTCACCTGGAATCTCAGAAGGTGACTGTATTTGTAATAGGGGTCTTTGCAAATGTAATGAAGGTAAAGATCTCAAGATGAGATCATCTTGGATTAGAATGTCCTTCTCAGAGACAGAAAGGAGGGGACATACAGAGACACAGCGAGGAAGGGCGTGTAAAAATGGAGGCAGGCAGAGGCTGGAACGATGCCGTTGCATGCCCAGGAATGCCACAGGCCATCCGAAGCTGGAAGCTGCTGGGAAGTATTCGCCCCTGGAGCCTTCGGAGGAAGCATGGCCCTGCCAACTCCTTGTTTCCAGGCTTCTGACCTCCAGAACTGTGAAAGAATAAACTTCTGTTGTTTCAAATCACCTGTTTGGTGGCCATTTGTTACAGAAGCTCTGGGAAACCGACACAAATGTCCACCATTCTTCTGTTTTTTTTTTTTTGTTTTTTTTTTTTTGATGGAGTTTCACTCTTGTTGCCCAGGCTGGAGTGCAGTGGCGCGATCTCGGCTCACCACAACCTCCGCCTCCTGGGTTCAAGCAATTCTCCTGCCTCAGCCTCCCGAGTAACTGGGATTACAGGCATGTGCCACCATGCCAGGCTAATTTTGTATTTTTAGTAAAGATGGGGTTTCTCCATGTTGGTTAGGCTGGTCTCGAACTCCTGATCTCAGGTGATCTACCTGCCTCGGCCTCTCAAAGTGCTGGAATTACATGTGTAAGCCACCATGCCTGGCCCAAATGTCCACCATTATTATTCTTCATAAGAAACATAGGCATTTCAAGCCATTACCAAACTTATAGTCACTATTTATCATTATCTATTTTTCTCCATCAATGGATATGCAACTATTACTATCATGAAAAGTAAATTATATTTGCAACCCCATTATCTTCTAGATGGAGAAACAGTTTGAGAGAGGGCAGTGGAGAAGCAAGAGAGCTGGTCTGGAACCCAGCTGCCTGACTCGTGAGTCATTTCTCTTCCTCCAAAGCCCTATTAAGTCTGGGGCTGCTTATGGTCCTCACCAACTACACAAAGAAAGTCAGGGTCATGCTCATCCATCAGGAGGTTCAGGGCCACTTCCCGCTTTCCTCTGTTTGGCAACACTAAGAGTCACCCTCTGATTGTTCCAGAAAAGCAAGAATTGCTAAAGGCCATTGTGTCAAGTTTGCCCAATTCATGCTGCTTGACATCTTACCCCTCCCCACCCTGCTCCCATCCCCCCCACCCAGTGCCCCTGATTGCAACACTCCTGGCTGGGGTGGGACAGGGTGGCCAGATAAAAGCAGAGCAGGACCTGGAAAGCTGGTTTGTATGGGCTGCAGCCTGCCGCTGAGCTGCATCATGGTGCGGTCTGTGGCCTGGGCAGGTGAGCCGTCGGATAGTGGGCTGGGTCTCGGGAGCTGTGGGGAGGTGGGGATGTGGATGTTCAGGGACCACTTGCTACCATTTGCAAGGAAGCAGGAGGACTCAGGAGAACTTCAGAGGGTCATTTTATCCCTCTCCATGCCTCCTGGCTTGCAGTCCCTTGATTACCTTTCCTGTGGGCTCCCCCTTAGGCTCTTTCAGCCCAAGAGACTTCATGTTGCAAGGGAAGGCTTTTCTCAACAGGCTGAAGATGACTTGACTTTCCTCTCTCTGTCCTGAAAGCCCAGAGTCAATGAGGCCCCTGCACTGGGTCTTTGTGTCTTTCCCATGTTCTTAGGTCCCTCCTGTTGGCCTTATCCAAGAAGCGCCCACTGCCAAGAACCTCTTCTCCAACCTCATATTGTCTGTCCTGCAAGAGGGCAGCCTGGGGCCAAGATCCTGGGCATCCTTGCAAATTTTCATGGAGGTTCTATTAGGTTGACAGAGAAGTCCAAGGTCACCAGGTGAAAGAGATCTCTTCGAAGGAGTCCTGTCAGACCCTAGGTCTCCAAGGCTGTGGTTGCCTACCACAGCCAGGTAGCGGAAAGGCAACAGGAAGCCATAAACGATGGGAGCAGAGGCACAGGCCCTCCCCAGGAGATGAACTCTCTCCATGCAGCCCTTCCAGATTGATTCTTTCTAGCCCCAAAACAGGCTTGTTTCTTGTTCCGAAAGAGAAACTATCTCTCTAAATAACTCACAAGTCAGCAGTTTTTCCACAATCTTCCTGAATCCACACTGCCCTTTACTGAGGTATAGAGAGGGGGCAGCCTCAGCCCATGGAACTTTCCATCAGCTTCTAGGACCAACCCAGGCCAGGAAGAGACCCCCGTGGTCTGGTCTGCATGAAGGGATGGGCACAGTGCCCTCCTGGGTCCCTTCTGAAAGGAGAAAGCTTGATTTGTATGAAATCAGCCCTCCCTGACCACCTCCTGTGCTTCCGTAAGCTGTGGGGCCTGGGAAGGTGAGAATGGCAGCATAACCCTGGCCTTCTCTCTTGTGTTGCTCCAGGTTTCATGGTCCTGCTGATGATCCCATGGGGTAAGTAGCCTCTTTCTTGGCTGCCTCAGCCCCTTCCCTGGGCTCTGCTTAATGTCCCAAAACACCTTCCCTGCCAGACCTCCCCAAGAGCTCCAGATTTCAGTGGGGACTCTCTTCCAAAGCTCAGACCCCTGCAAATGTCCCCATCTGCTACCAGCCCTCCCAGGAAGGCTCTTGCCTCCTTATCCATTAGCTGAGCTCCTGCACATCTGTGGGGCCAGCTTGCGCATCAGCCTCTTTCAGGGCTTTCCTTTCCTGGGGTTGCTGGCTCCCTCCTCTGCACTCTGTGCTCTTGCAGCACCTGTGTGTTTTACAGTACAGTACTGCCTCTCATTATTGGCTTAGGTGTCTCTCTGCACCAGTCTCAGACTCCAAGTTGCTGCAGGTAAGGAACCTAAGTCTCATCTGGTTCAGCATCCCCAGCCCCTTAGCTCTGCGAGGACAACACACTTGCTTCTGGTCTGTTGAACTGATCAGATGTGGAGCTTGAGAGAGGCAGGAGGGAGCTCCTTGTTGTGTCAAATGGAAAAGAGACCTGGGGGACCTTCAGCAACTTGAACTCCTGGTCCCCGTCTTGTCCCACCCCATTCCCTGGGCATCAGTGGCCTGGGAATGCTGGCCTCTCAGAACTTGTCCTGCGACTGTGCCTCTCACGCTGGGCTGTAGCATTGGAGGTACATTTCCCTCTCAGCCTCATAGGATGGAACAGCCGGGGGCACAGAAACAGCAAACATGGGGAAGATGAGAGGTGGAAGATTTCTCAAAAAGCTTTAGTCCAGGCTACTTCTGGGCTTTCTGCAGTATAGTAATAATAGTAGGACTTTGTGTGGACTAAGGGTTAATATATGTGAAGCACCTAGAACAGAACTTCTTCCTTGCAGTGTTCCTCCGAGTGTTTTACATATATTAACTTTAGCCCACACTGGGGTCCTGTGACACACATTGTGGAAGGTCCAATGGTCTCCCCGTTTCACACAGGAGGAAGCTGAGTCGCACAGCGAGTAAGTTGCAAAGTTGGGATTTCAACCCAGACACTGACATGCCAGAGTCCCTGCTGTTAACCACTGCACTTTATTTTCTCCATAGTACAGAAATTCATAACAATATTTGATATGCGACAGCATGACATGATAGAAAAAGAGCTTCCTGGCTCCTTCCTACATGGCCTGGGGGATGAGTTATCTGGTTTCATCCCCTCCTTCCTTTCTTTTCCTTTGGGGAGTTCACCAATTCTCCTGTATCATTGCAGGCTACACCCCAGCCCCACTAGCAAGCTGCACTCCTGGGTGACCTCTGGTTAGAGACAGTGACCACTCCGGGGCCACGTGTATGCCCAAGGTCAGCCCTCCATGCTCTCGGGTTCTAGTTGAGGCCTGCCTGAGCGGTCTCTTCCCAAAACTCTCCTATAGACACTTTGCACCCCTCCTCTTCCTCGTCCCATCCCTGTCCATGTGGGCATTGGAGGGGGTACAGACAGACCCTGCTGGGGCAAAGGGAAGTCCCAGGTTCTAGACACCAGCCACAGGCACGCTCCAGTCCAAACTCACTGCTCCATCAAGATCTTGGCATAAAATGTTGGCTCATACAAACCACACCATCATAGATTGAGAGACTGGAAGAGACCCCACAGACCACACAGTCATTATCAGATGGGGCCGGGATTGAAGATGAGATAGACCCAAAGTCTATTTTTGGCAGATGCTGGAATGAAGACTAGCATTCTTGCTTCCTGGTGTCCTGGTCAACCCTGCACAGGGCTGACCTCAGTGGGGGTCATCACCACCGAGCCCTCACTGGGAATAGACCATCCCACCCCTGCAAAGTCTTTTCACACACTGTAGGGTACTCTAGAGACAAGTACCCTACAGTGTGTGGGGTACTTAGAGACAAGATGCCTTCTCCTAGATAAAATTAGCTCTATTAGAATCTCAGCAGTGATATTGATAAACGTAGATTATCTACAAGGGATAACAAGCAAATGCAAATGGCTTTAATGCAAGACTAAAGAAACATAAACCCAGGCCTGTAACTGGGGCCTCCTCTCTGCTACTTATCTGTTTGCATTTTAACGAAGTATTCTGAGGTATTCCAAACCGTTTTTGAAAGTTCTGCCTGCCTTCCTTCTGCAGATGAGCATGCCATGTCTAATTCCCTCTAGGCCTCATGTTGGGGCTGCCTGGGGCTACCTTCTGTCAGGTTTCAGGGCCTGGAGGGGAGACCCTAACTGGGGATAGGGAGACCTGCCTGCCAGACCCTGATCCTGGGAGCTCGGACTCTGAGACTAGCAACTTTCAAGGATGTCAAGGAGTCATGAGACTTGGGTCGCAGCACCTCTGCTCTGCCCTCTTAGCAGCCATGCTGATGGGGACGGGCCCCAAGCTCGTGAGCCTCAACTTGCTTCCCGGGAAAAGAAGGCTTAGAAGATGATGGTCCTGCCCACTCAGTGTTCTGAGGATCCCATGTCTGGCCTCTGAAAATGCTTTCCCAACTGCCAGACTCCATCCACACAAAAGCAAATGCCATTTCTGCCTGTCGGGTCCCTCCACTGACTCCAGGTGTAGAAGAGGGAGGTCCAAGGACATTGCCTACCCCAGATGGAGGGTGACCAGTCCCCAGAAGGTCCTGCTGACAGCTATCCCTTTTCTTTACTCCAACGGGCCAGGCTCTGCTGCAAAACTGGTCTGCTACTTCACCAACTGGGCCCAGTACAGACAGGGGGAGGCTCGCTTCCTGCCCAAGGACTTGGACCCCAGCCTTTGCACCCACCTCATCTACGCCTTCGCTGGCATGACCAACCACCAGCTGAGCACCACTGAGTGGAATGACGAGACTCTCTACCAGGAGTTCAATGGCCTGAAGAAGATGTGAGCCAAAGCAGAGGAGCAGGGTGGGTGGGATGTGGTGGGGTGACAGATAACCTCCTCCCAGAGCCAGACACCTCTCCAGCACTAAGGTCCTGCCACAGACCCACTGTGTGGCTTTGGGCAAGTTGTATCACCTCTCTGGGCTCTCCTGTGCTTAATGAAAGAGGTAGGGTTTGCTTAGGGGATCCCAAAGGTCCCTTCCAGTTTAGGTCTAAGTGTGATCAGGATTGTGAGACTCTTTCTGTCTCCCATGAAGCCCCTTCCTCATTATGAAATTGATCCACCCTTCAGCTCCAGTGTTCTGGGCGCCTTCACAAAGCCTCTTGAGAATCTGCCCCAATCCTTGCTTCCTGAGCCCACACAGTTAGACAGGTGGTTCTGTGAGTCAGGAACGTGACTTCCCTTTTCCAATCTACAGCTGTCCCCAGAATGCCTAATACAGTCTCTGCACATAGGCACTTTCACACGTCCCCACCCCTGTTGTTCCTCCCCACTGTAACATCCCTGCCAGGGTGCCCTGGGAGCTGGCAGAGTAAATCCTGCTGTGTCTCCTGTCTTTCCCAGGAATCCCAAGCTGAAGACCCTGTTAGCCATCGGAGGCTGGAATTTCGGCACTCAGAAGTTAGTTGACTGTGGTCACCTGTGTGGTAAAGCTCCTGGATGGGAACCTGGTGCACTGGCCAGAGGGAGCCCTGGTCAGGGAATCAGGCCAGGCTGAGGTGTGGTCAGGGGAAAGGGGAGGGGAGCTGAACTCTGAGGGCTGAATTTCCTTCTGGGTTCTTGGCACCTCAGCTGGAGGGCAGCACAGTGAGCTTTGCTCCAGGCTGTTTCAGATCCAGTCTTGCCAGAAGCATAGGTCTAAACACAGCAGAGGGCTCAGACCTCTCCAAGCCTCAGTCTCGTCTTCCATGAAATGAGAAGAGGGAGGGTCCCAACTAATCCTGACAACATGCAGTGTCTATGTTTTCTGAGCTCAGAAATGGGGTACCTTGTCCCAGAAAGAGTGTTTATTCCACTTCTGAGTACAAAAGGTAATCTGTGAGATTGAGCCTGGATGCCAGAGTATTGGCATTTGGGGGACATTTTTTAAATGATTTATGGAGAAAATGGAATGGAGTATTTGAAACTTGGTGTTTTCTAGAAAATCCAGAATATAGGGCTCCCAAAGCTCTAAACAGTCTTTCTAAAACTTTTTTGGATCATGAACCCTTTTGGGAATCTGATGAAAGTGATTACTCATCTTCCAAAATAATGCTTATATACAGACTGTTTATTGAAATGCAGCAGGAGTTTTTAGCCTGGTGTCCTCGGACTAAATTAATAAAAATAAAATAGGATCAATCTGTAAAGAACTTGAGACCCCCTCAAGAAGTTCAGGGACTTCCCACTAAGGAAGGAAGATGTGGAGAGGTGGTTCTTGGGGCAGCTTGGGGATTTTGACGAACTCTGGACTAGTAACAGCAACAAAAACACAAAGCGCTCTACGGGTGTGAGTTAAAAGAAAGATGACCAGGTTAACCTGCCAGGAAACTAAAACAGTGGGCTCCCCAGGTCTTTACTAACCTTAGTAAAGGAATTAGAGAAATTCTAATTAGAGAAAAATCTTACTTAAAGAAAAACCTTACAAGAGGAATTAGAGAAACTAATTCCTTTTCTTTTCAAACCTCCATTCTGAGGGTGTCAACTAGTTCTGGTTTGGGGTGGGACAATTCAAGGGCTTGGAGGAAGCCTCTGGAGGGAATTTTGGGAAAGGCTCCTAGGGTGTCCATGTGCCCCTGGTGATGTCGATGTTCGGGGGTAGAAAGTGCTCTGGATGGTCCCCTTTCCTCAACCCGGACCATAACTCACCAGCAAATATCCCTGCAGCCTCTGAAGCAGCCCTCCCAGTGCCCCTCCTAGCCCAGACACAGAGACGCACTGTCCTGAGTGTTTTCTTGCCTGCTTCTGAGTAAGAGTGGCCTCCTGTCTGGTCCAAGGCCGGCCCTTACTCCCCTTCATCACCTCACAGGTTCACAGATATGGTAGCCACGGCCAACAACCGTCAGACCTTTGTCAACTCGGCCATCAGGTTTCTGCGCAAATACAGCTTTGACGGCCTTGACCTTGACTGGGAGTACCCAGGAAGCCAGGGGAGCCCTGCCGTAGACAAGGAGCGCTTCACAACCCTGGTACAGGTATGGCTGGGCGGGGCGGGGATCACCAGTCTGTGCAGGGACCCAGAGCTGGAGCCCCCACAGCACATGTGGGGGCTGCTCTGCCCCCAGAGCCAGCTGCTTCACGTATCTGCATGGCACAGATCAGCCCTGTGGCCAGCTCTCAGACTTCTACAAGTGAACATCTACCTGGGGCTCACAGGGGCTGCCTGCCTGGTGCGCGCCCCTGTGTTGACTCTGAGCTCCACTCCCACAGGACTTGGCCAATGCCTTCCAGCAGGAAGCCCAGACCTCAGGGAAGGAACGCCTTCTTCTGAGTGCAGCGGTTCCAGCTGGGCAGACCTATGTGGATGCTGGATACGAGGTGGACAAAATCGCCCAGTGAGTCTCAGGCAGATGGCTTGGAGCTGTGCTCTCTGAGGGAAGAGAGGCCAAGGGCAGACTGAGCTTTCCCATGGGTAGAGCAGGTGTTCATCTACAAGGCATTTGGAAAGTCCCATCCTTACACCAGAACAAAAGCAGAAAATTCCCTGCTTTTGTACTCAGGGTAAAACTAAGACACATCCAGAAAGGCTTTGCTCAGTGTCCACTGCTGCCCTGTTCCAGATCCTTCATTTTGGATCTCTGTCCTCTTCCTCGGGAACTCATTCTTAAGGTGAAAATGCCTCTGAGTGGGTAGTGAAGCCATTGTCTTCAAGAAAATGGGTTTTCTGGATCCTTGCTCCTCAAAGTACAGCATGTGGACTCGCAGCCCTCATTAAAACCAGGTGCTCATTAGAATTATGGACTCTCAGGCCCCACCCCAGGCCTTCTGAAGAACCTTCATTTTAGTGAGATTCCCAGGTGATCTGTGTGCACACTGAAGTGGGAGAAACCCTAAGCTAGAGTTCCCTCCAGAATAGCAATGTAGCAGGAGTTTTCTTGAGTGGAATAGGGAGGGCCTGGGGGTGCTGAGGGGACAGTGGGGTGAGGGTGACAAGTTTGAGTGAGAATGAGAATGGCCTTCATAAGGGGGCTGGCTGGGACTGCTGTCTGGGTCACCTTCTGCAGAGCCAGGTGAGCCTGCCACCTTTGCCTCTGACCCCAGTGGTTCCTCCCTAGGCCATGCACTGAGGGGGTAGGAGTGAGAAAGAAGGGCTACCCCACCCCCAATCCCTTGTTTCTCACCTCCTCTTCCATGCCTCCTGCAGGAACCTGGATTTTGTCAACCTTATGGCCTACGACTTCCATGGCTCTTGGGAGAAGGTCACGGGACATAACAGCCCCCTCTACAAGAGGCAAGAAGAGAGTGGTGCAGCAGCCAGCCTCAACGTGGTACGTGTGGCAGGAGGGCTGAGGCAGGACTCCCCTGTCCAGCAGGCCCTGTTTGGTGGCTTCTTTTGAGCCCCGAGGCCCTCATGGGAAAAAAGACACAGGGCACTGAGAAACAAGAAGCTTTTTTGTTTCTTTGCTTGCTTGTTTTGTTCTATTTTCCTGGTCCGTGCCCCTGCTGAGGGGAAACCTCACTTCTGTGGAGCATCTTGGCTGATGGTAGAGGCAGCAAATCAGTTTGATGACAAACAAGTGACCAATGGGGAAGCCCACTTTGAGCTTGAGTCTCCAGCCAGCAGGCCTGCTGCTTCCCTCACACACCCCCACCCCATTTCCTTCAAGACAGTGGGCAGACTTGTGCTCCATGGTCACACTGGTTGACCTTCTGGAAGGTCCTTTCAGGGACAGGAGCTTTCCCAAGTTGATAACATCTCTGCAGATGTCACTCAGGGTGGAAGTACTCCCAGCACCTGCAAAGGGCAGGCTTGGTTTTTAGACTAGGGTAGGTTGGGGTTTCCTAACTTTTCCTCATTGAGCAATCAAGACACTTTTAATTTTTTTTAATTTTATATATTTATTCTTAAGAGACAGAATCTTGTTCTGTCACCAAGGAGGGTATGCAGTGGCATGATCATAGCTCACTGCAGCTTCATCCTCCCAGGCTTAAGCGATCCTCCTGCCCCAGCCTCCTGAGTAACTGGGATCACTATGACCAGCTAATTTTTTTTAAGTTTGTAGAGATGGAGTCTTGCTATATTGCCCAGGATGGTCTCAAACTCCTGCCCTCAATCAATCCTCCTGGCTCAGCCTCCCAAAGTGTTGGAATTATAGGCACAAGCCAACATGCCCAGCCTAGATCCTTTTTATAAGCCCTCTATATATCTTAAAATATAGAGAGGGTTTATAAAACCCTGCAGAGAGGGCTTATAATAACTACATTATTTTTCTTTCTTAAAACAAGCAAAACCAAACAACAAAGAAAAAGCCCTAAATTAAAATGCTTTTTACTTTTGGAGAGCCCACATCTCTGTATGTCAGCTGGAGTGGGACATCTTTGATTTTCTGGCTCTTTCATGAATAAAGAGCACCTCTTTGAGCCAGTGAGCCAGGCACCCACATTTCACACTGAGCCTGGCCTCTCCATCCCTGTCTGGAAGACTGTGTGAGTTTTGGAGGAAGCTGTATCCCTGTGCTGGTGGGGAGACACAGAAAGAAATTTAGCTGAGAGGTGAGTGGGGTGGGAGTCCCTCCAGCACCCTGCTTTCCACATTGTGTACCTTGAATCCACCGAGGAATGGAGGCCATCTTATTCCTACAAAGAGGCCTTCTACTCACCACACAGTGTGCCCGGGGACAGGTTCTAACCAGATGGGTGACTTTTCCCAACTTGCACAAAAGTGCTATAACAGATCAGGAGAAGCCCCGACTTCTGCCTTCAGAAAGCACCCATCTGATCAAAGATAAGTTGTATAGATGGACAAAAAGAAATATATTTAAATAAATGTAGTGAAAGCTGTTCTTTACCTAAGTGCTAAGTGGGCTCAGAGTAACTAGACCTGACAAAACTAGGGCAGCTTCTGGGGGAAAGTGAACCATACTCTTGGCTTAAGGAATGAGGCTTCATTATTCATTAATTTATCATACTTGTACCGGGTACCTTCTCCCGTCACAGGCCTGGGGGTGTTACACCAAGTAATATATAATCAGGGGAAGGCCTTATTCAAAGGTGGGTAAGGAAGCCTTTGTTCTATCTGAGCATCAGGTGTCATTCTAGACACTGAGGATACAGAGATAAATAAAGCAGACCCAATTCCCTGCTTTTGTACTCAGGGTAAAACTAAGACAACAATCATGATAACGATGATGACCACAGCGACCCTTTATTGCGTTGTGCTGACCTTTTACATGCATTATAACCTTTAATTCTCACAATGCCCTAAGAGATGGATATTTTCCTTATTTCCATGTTACAGACAGAACACCAAGGTTCAGTGAGGTTAAATAAGCTGCTGGGTAAGGCAGGGATCTGTGTCTGCCTTGTTCACTGATGTGTCTGAAGCACCATGGACAGCGCCTGGCACACAGTGGGCCATCAGTACACATTTGTTCAGTGAATGGTTGTCTGCGTCCGAAGCCCACGCTCTCTGGTTATCATGCCATGCAGCTTCTTCACTGGGGTCACGGGTCTAAGGCAGGCTCTAAAGAAGATGGGGTAGGGCTGGAATCCTAACAAAGGCCCGTAGAGCTCCAGCTGAGGAGCCCCTGCCCTCCTAGCTCTGCCTCTGGATCCCCCAGACTTAGATAATCAGAACCAGGCTGAGGGCTGAGAAAATTAACCCTGCCCTCTTCCACCAGGATGCTGCTGTGCAACAGTGGCTGCAGAAGGGGACCCCTGCCAGCAAGCTGATCCTTGGCATGCCTACCTACGGACGCTCCTTCACACTGGCCTCCTCATCAGACACCAGAGTGGGGGCCCCAGCCACAGGGTCTGGCACTCCAGGCCCCTTCACCAAGGAAGGAGGGATGCTGGCCTACTATGAAGTAGGAAAACCCATAACCACCCTGGGTATTGTGAGGGTCAGGGGGTGCCTGAGAGAACAGAGGTTTCCTTCTCCCACCGTTTCTGAGTAAGGATGCCAATTGCAGAGAATTCTGGCCATGTAAATTCCATCTCATCCATGCCATCTTGAATTTATCCTTAAGCCCAGGTGCCTCAAGCTGAGTCCAGAATTCTAGGTCACTGCAAAGAACCTCCTGATTCTCCAGGCTTCCTCAGACAGGAATTTTCCAATCTCTAGTCTCCTCCTGGTGAGGAAGGGAAGGTGCCTGCAAGAGCCTCCCTCCTCCTCCCCAGTGCTGCCTTCTGCTCCCACAGGTCTGCTCCTGGAAGGGGGCCACCAAACAGAGAATCCAGGATCAGAAGGTGCCCTACATCTTCCGGGACAACCAGTGGGTGGGCTTTGATGATGTGGAGAGCTTCAAAACCAAGGTGAGGCCCAGCTCTGCTGGCAGAGGGGTGGTCCTAGTGAACAAGTCCTGTCAATGACATGGAATGAGGACAGTTCAGGACCTCAAGGGTGAGTCTCCTTTAAATGTCCCAACATTTCATAAATCTCCACGTGATAGTATTTTGTACCTTTACTACCTATTGACTCAGAAAAGACAAAATGACAAAAAATTGCTCTACATTTAGTAGCACTCTGGAAAGTATTTCTATTTTATTAAATACCATACAAATTCTACAGACATATGAAGAGGAGAAATACACATGGTGAGACATATAGCTTTCTTCAGCCCATTGGCAATATCTGGTGCATGTCCAAATTACAGACCTTTTGCTTTACTTATAGGACCCCCTTCTCCTGCCCAATATTGGTGCATTTACCTGGTTTCATGCCATTTTCCCCTGTGAAACTGTTAGCTCCTGAAGACGGATGCTTCACTAGTTTATCTGTACATCCCACATCAACTATCATGTGTGGCTGACAGCGGCAGCTTCTAGAGGTGGACAATTGCAGGGGGGCACGATCCTGGCTGGGGAGATGGGAGAAGGGGTCACGGTGGAAGGGTATTTCAGATAAGTCCTAAAGCATAGAAGGTGGCCATTCTTAGGGGTGAGGGAGCGGGCAACTGCACAAGCAAAGACGCGGGTGCAGAGAAAGTAAAGGCTGGACTCTGAAAACAAAGTGTAGGCCCACATAGCTGGACCCCCAAGCAGGGCAGGTAGAGGAAGGGAGCTAGCTGAAAGGGAGGCTGGGGCCAGCAAGGGATCAAGCACCATGGCCCCCTGGCAGGGTTAGAGGACAGAGAATCCCACTCTGAGGGAACACACAGTCATACCCTCAGGAAGCCTCAGGAATCTGGTGGAGGGAAGATGGCTCTCAGGGAAGACAAAGACATGAAGACAGAGAAGCAAGCCTTGATTGAGATCTTTTGGAAATCTGAGTTGTTCCCTATGGTAACTGGACTTACCTTGACCTTGACCTTGACCAGCATACAATACCCTTAAATAAAGCAGCTCAGCCCACACATGACCAAGCGGTGAAGGGTTCCCACTTAGGGAGGTGCACACAACTGACACTATTCCTCCCGACTGCACCCACCCCACCCCAGGTCATGCTTACGTTAAGACAAGGAGACTGCAAAATGACTGATGTCCAAGCAGCATGAGGACTCAGCATCCAGGCTCCCAGCCCAAGGCTGTCTCCAGAATCTACAGCCACTCACAGGCCTGAGGCTGCTGGAGCAAAAAGGGCCCTGTCCAGAAGAGGTAGCCAGGCTCTGGGGTGGCCGGGTCAGGCTTCCCCGGGCTCCTCCACTGCATCCCCTCCCTGCACAGGTCAGCTATCTGAAGCAGAAGGGACTGGGCGGGGCCATGGTCTGGGCACTGGACTTAGATGACTTTGCCGGCTTCTCCTGCAACCAGGGCCGATACCCCCTCATCCAGACGCTACGGCAGGAACTGAGTAAGTAAGGGGCCCAGGGCCAGTGGTGGAATTTGGAGGTGGGGTACAAACACAGCTCCATGCATCCAATGAACTGTAGGTCCCGGGTCCTTCTGAGGAAATGACTTTGCCCCAATACTGTAATTTCCCAAGCTTCATGTACCCGCAGGAGCTAAGGAAACTGTCAAAACAATTTTCCTTTTTGCGGTCTTTCTCTTCCTGGTTGTAGCAATGCCTGCCCAGGGTTGTTGTAACCGTGGCTTCCCTCCAGAGGGCCCCCAGACTGGGAGCAGCACCTTGTTCCTCTCTTACCTGGGAGAAAGCCTCCCCTTAGCCTGCAGCGTGGCACCCCCACCTGCCCTCAGCAGTATATGGTTGTGCTTGCAGATGGGTAAAGCCTTAACTGCCTGTCACATGTGAGGCCAGGTGTTGCCTGTGGCACTGTGCTTCAGCTGTAGGTATGGCTGTTGTCTGGCTGTTCTCTGCCTGGGGTATCTGGCTGTACTCAGCCTGTAGGGCATGTGGTGCTGGGCTGCTGCCAGCCAATGGTTGCTGCCTGTGTGCTCTGCCTGTGGGTTTGGGATCTCTTCGGGGGAGCCTTGGTTGAATCTTCACTGTCTTCCCAGGTCTTCCATACTTGCCTTCAGGCACCCCAGAGCTTGAAGTTCCAAAACCAGGTCAGCCCTCTGAACCTGAGCATGGCCCCAGCCCTGGACAAGACACGTTCTGCCAGGGCAAAGCTGATGGGCTCTATCCCAATCCTCGGGAACGGTCCAGCTTCTACAGCTGTGCAGCGGGGCGGCTGTTCCAGCAAAGCTGCCCGACAGGCCTGGTGTTCAGCAACTCCTGCAAATGCTGCACCTGGAATTGAGTCGCTAAAGCCCCTCCAGTCCCAGCTTTGAGGCTGGGCCCAGGATCACTCTACAGCCTGCCTCCTGGGTTTTCCCTGGGGGCCGCAATCTGGCTCCTGCAGGCCTTTCTGTGGTCTTCCTTTATCCAGGCTTTCTGCTCTCAGCCTTGCCTTCCTTTTTTCTGGGTCTCCTGGGCTGCCCCTTTCACTTGCAAAATAAATCTTTGGTTTGTGCCCCTCTTCCCAAAGATGTGGTGACTTAAGAGGCTCTCTAAGCACACTGTTGACTCCAAAACATCCGCAGGTCAGAGCCAGGTGGGAAGGTGGTCCGTGCAGGATGTGCCAGGCCCTGTGGCAGGTCTTGCCCCATGAGTCCATATGCCAGTGGGCAGTTTCCAGTACACAGGTGATGGCAGCCAGAGCGCGGCCCCAAGTGCAACACGTTCTTTGGTTATTGGCTCAGAAGCCTGGAAACAGGAGCTTCTGCGGACCTTCACGCACGTGTTATTCCCAAAATGCCACTAGATGGCAGCAGAGAAGAACTTTTCCCTGATTTAAGCGCTCTGCGAGCAGCCACTCAGCATTACACTAAGAATTCAGACCCCTGGTACTCAGGGGTCTTCGAGATAAATCCTGTTTGGGCCCTTTGCAGGCCCTATCTCACCTACTGCCCCCGTTCACCAGATGAAGAAGGAACAATGATTATTCTCACTTTATAGGCATTTAAACTGAAGACTGATTCTAACCAATTCTGAGTCCAGAACCAAGGCCTGAAATGGGCCAGAGAGCATGCACACGGTGTCCTGGTTAAATAAAGTCATCCCAACATTCCTGGCTGCTTTGGGCTGCACCTTGGTCATTCTGTTTGAAGAAAATCTGCACAAAGCCTAATGGTCCAGCCTGTTATTCACTCCAAGCTGGTTTCTGGTTGGGACTTGGGAAGGCAGCTGGGGACTGGGACAGGTGAGATGAGGGGGAGGCAGCTTGGCCCCCCATGTGAGTCAACCCAGCACCAGAGCGCAGGAACAGTGTCCCCGTCACTCCGGCAGCCTGCCTGTCCATGGGCATTTTGAAACCTGCTCTCCTCAGTCCAGAGCACAAGCTGCTTGAGCACGTGCTCCGCCCCCTGAGGTCTCAATTGAGGGATACACCAACCACATCCCAACGAGCTGTTAGGAGTGGAGTCCAGGTGCAGGGGTGACTTCTGGCGTGCTGCACTCCAGCTGTGTGACTTCAGGCAAAGAAGCAGAGCCTCAGTCCTCTGCTGTAGGATGGAAGAAATGTGAGGAGTCAGTGAAGTCGTGCACGCCTGCCCTATGATCAGTGCTCATTCCCTCCCTCCCTCTTCCCTTCTCAGCCCTTTCTTCAACTTCTGTGAGCTGGGTTTGTCAAGGATTTAGCAAAAACTGTAGTCTCCTTTTAGCAGAATGCGCCCTCCTACAAGCATCCAAATAACCAAAGTCCTCCCTGAGTACGCAGTCTTACACCTGCACTACTGTTACCCTCAGGAAAGCATTAGCCACAGCCTCTCTCTGGTCTTCACATCCACCCTGCTCCTCTACAAACTCATGGCCACTCCCTCAGCTAGAACCAGCATCATCTCATATCTGGACCCACCTTCTATCTGGCCTCCCTGCTTCCTGCCCACCCCCTCTTCCAGTCAGCCACCACATCGCAACCAGTTTAATCTTTCTAAAATAGAGATCTAAGCCTGTCAGTTCCCCTGCTTAAAAACTAAGCAAGGGAAGTGACAGGCTTCCCCTGCCCAAAGGAGAAAGTCCCCACCCATCAGCACAGGGTTGAGACACTTTATCAGGCCCTCGTGTCTTCTCCGGTCACTTCTCCTGCCGTCCCCACCCCAGTTCAGTTGCTGGGTACCCCTGATGTCAGCATTAACCTCAACCATCATGCCAGCTCCTCATGTGGGACTCCCACAGCCCTCTGTCACCCGGCTAGCTCAGGCCCACGCCATTTTCTGAATGAATCCTGTCTAGGACAGAAACAATGAGAGTTCTCGAAAAGCTATTTGTGTTCAGATTATCTCTTTTTGTTTGTTTTTGTTTTGTTTTGTTTTTTGTTTGTTTGTTTGGTTTTTGTTTTTTGGGTTTTGGTTTTTTTCTTTTTTTTTGAGACAGAGTCTCGCTCTGTTGCCCAGGTTGGAGTGCAGTGGCGTGATCTCGGCTTACTACAACCTCCACCTCCTGGGCTCAAGCGATTCTCCTGCTTCAGCCTCCCGAGGAGCTGGGACTACAGGCACCTGCCACCACACCAGGCTAATTTTTGTATTTTTAGTAGAGACGGGGTTGCTGTTGTTTGCTTGAGACAAGGTCTCTCTCTGTCACCCAGGCTGGAGTGCAGAGGCACGATCACAGCTCACTGCAGCCTTGACCTCCTGGGCTCAGCTGATCCTCCCACCTCAGCCTCCCAGGTAGCTGGGACTACAGGTACACACCACCATGCCCTGCTAAATTTTGTATTTTATGTAGAGGCAGGGTTTTGTCATGTTACACAGGCTGGTCTCCAACTCCTGGGCTCAAGTGATCCTCCTGCCTTGGCCTCCCAAACTGTTGGGATTACAGGTGTAAGCCATTGTTCCCAGCCAGATTGTCTCCTTTGACTCCACCTTGGCCTTGAAGCCCCATGTGGCTGGAGTCTTCCTGCTGCTGCTGAGTTTCTCAGCACACACCAAGTGTCCATGCAGGCCTGGTGTCCAGCTGGACACAGCAGGGACAAGAGCCGGGGCTTTACTTTCCTGAGGCTAACATTCTGTTGGGGGAGGCAGACAGTGAACAAACGTGCACATAAGACCTTTCCAGGCAATAATGAGTGCTGAAAGGAAACAAGATATGGCTAGAGAGTGAAGGATGGCGGTGAGGGGACTGCTGTGCACAGTGTGGTCACAGAAGGCTCAGTAGAGGCCACATTTGAGATGAGATCCCAAGTCAAAGGAAGATTTGCCCATGCACTTTTGAGATCCACAGTCCTCAGGGGTAAATCTGGGTGCAATTCTTCCCTGGCTGCCTTTGTTAACCCAGCTTATAGGACATGGTCCTGCCTTGGTCCCCTCTTCTAAATGTCCCCAAGAGGCCCTGCCTTGGCCCCATTTCTCCCCTGGCACAGGTGCCTCGTGTAGGCCCTTAGTCTGATGGCGGTGATCATGGCCCCATGGACAAGTCCTCCAGAGCAATGACTGCTCCCCTATCCTTTATGTCAACTGTCACCTCAATCCCCACTTGCCTGGTGGCCTTTTAGTTAATACCGACTGAGGTTAGGGCTCCCGGCCACTGCCCCAACCTGTGGACTGTACCTTCAGAGTCAACCTTTGGTGACTGCCCCAGCCTCTGTCATGCCCTTATGCCCAGTGCATGGTCCACGTGCATGGTCCAGTACAACATCCTCCCTCTCCTCTGCCCCAGGTTGCTGCTAGGAAAGCACCCTTGGTGTCCCATATCCAGTGTGGTGACCTGTATCCCAGGGGACCATCGGGAGTCTCCAAACAAGCCATGCCTTCCTCCAGCGCATCTCCACCTGTGCTTCACTTCTGCCTGTGCCATCCCTCCTTTCCCCACCGGGCCACTGCCAGTCACCCTGAGACAGTCAGCTCCTGGGTTACTCTTGCAGGAAACATCCTCGGGTGCCCTGGACATCAGTGACTGCCTCCCTGCCACACTAGACCACTGGGCCACCACACTGACATATGCTGCCACCGTGATCTGTGTGGATGTTAGACTCCTCCCCTAGGTTCCGAGCTCCTAAGGTCAAGCACAATGTCTTAAGTGGTCCTCTCCAATCATGACACATGTTTGAGGCTCAGTAAATATTGAACCATGTAATTTCTGACTTTTTTTCTTCTTTTACCCTCAGGTGCAGAAATCACTTAGAGGATTTCCAGACTGAAGTGCTATTTCATGACAAGAGCACTACTCTCCCAAGCCCTTCTATTGAATACCACTGACTCTTTTAATATTAGTGTCCAGCCATTAGTCCTTCCTTCAAAGAGACAGGGGAATTAACATTCGTTGCATGACCAGAGACCATACTAAGCATGTATTAGACATCCAATAAATAGTTACTGAATGAATAGTAAGTGAATTAACCTGTGTCGTTTAATCCTCACGGTACCCCTGCAAAGGACGTGTCATTTTCTGTTTCCCTTGGGTTACACAAGCAGTATGTGGCAAAGCTGCAATTAATTAGCTGATTAATTAATTATTGAGACAGAGTCACTCTGTCACCCAGGCTGGAGTGCAGTGGTGCAATCTTGGCTCACTGCAGCCTCCGTCTCCTGGGTTCAAGTGATTCTCGTCCCTCAGCCTCCCAAGTAGCTGGGATTAAAGGCGCATGTCACCACACCCAGCTAAATTTTTTGGTATTTTTAGTAGAGATGGGGTTTCACTATGTTGGCCAGGCTGGTCTCGAACTCCTGACCTCAAGTGATCTGCCCACCTCAGCTTCCCAAAGTGCTGGGATTACAGGCGTGAGCCACCACGCCTGGCCTAAAACTGCAATTTAGATGCCAGTCTAGATGAGACCCAGAGCCCAGGTTTGCTTTCTAGAACACTGCTGTCTTTCCTCCCCCAGGTTAAAATCATATGTATTTCTTTTATCTCCTTACCCTGCTATTTGGTGTCTAGACCTCAGAGGTTATGAGTATTGGGCACTTCTTCTGTGTCCAGCCATACACTAATATTCAGGTCCATTTATCTCTGCTGTCAATCCCATGGGATCACAGGTGCAGAAACCACGGTGTCCAAGTCAAGCCGGCAGTGGAGTCAGGGCCTGACCCAGGCCCACCCATGTCTTTGGTTGCTCTCCCCAGTGCACCCTCCTTCATGCCTCAGCTCTTGTCCTCTACAATATCTGATTTTATGGTTTACCTAAGTATGAAATCTTAATGATGCTTAAAACAATAAGCATTGCCTGAGCACTTGCCATGTGGCAGGAGCTGTGCTAGGGCCTAAGGGAAATGCAGAAATGAACCCTGCCCTCATGGTGTTTCCAGCTGGTGGGACTGTTGGTGGGGGGTCTCCAGGATCAGCTTAGCACCAAGGGTCAAAAGATCAACCCAGTTGGTGCAGTGGCTCACGCCTGTAATCCCAGCACTTTGGGAGGCTGAGGCGGGCAGATCACGAGGTCAGGAGTTCAAGATCAGCCTTACCAACATGGTGAAACCTTGTCTCTACTAAAAACACAAAAATTAGCTGGGCATGGTGGCAGGCACCTGTAATCCCAGCTACTCAGGAAGCTGAGGCAGGAGAATCGCTTGAAACCGGGAGGCGGAGGTTGCAGTGAGCCGAGACTGCACCACTGCACGCTCCAGCCTGGGTGATAGAGTGAGACTCCATCTCAAAAACAAAACAAAACAAAACAAAAAATCAACCCAGAGAGAAGGTACAGGTACTTCATGACTGATGCTGTTTGGAGCTGCAGGCTCATGGGGATAATAAAAAACAGGCCAAGCCTGGCTTTATCCTTGTTTTTTAAAAATTCTCTGCATACAAGCCATTCTTATTGCCTCCACCTAGGGTGAACTTCTTGCTCTCATTGCCCAAGACAATCTGACATATGAAGTTTGAGCATCTACTGCAAAGCAAATACCACTTTTTATAACAAGACTTTCTCTCTGTTCCCACCAGACTGCCCTGTCAGCCCCACACACCTTAATTATAAACTAGGTCATGTAAGCTTGCATGGCCTTTGAAGACAGGCACAAATACTGCTTGAACTGTTACAGTGTGTTTGACATTGAGCAATACAGTTTGAAAGGAATTTGGGGCTATTTACTTTTTGGTGGCTTAACCCACTAATGTCTGGCCACCTTCCTTAACAGTGATGACCACTCTTCACCCATAAAGAAGAGGCCCCTGTATTCTTCTCTCTCATAGCATTCATTGTTACATCTGACACACCTGCTGGAACCCCAGACAAATTTGGCTCCCCCCTTGGCTGGTCAGATCGGGGACCAAACTGTCCATCACACCCTACCTGGAGCAGTGAGAGCTGAAACTCTTTATCATTTTAATTTTGTCTCCATTGTAAAATATACCACATTATACCAAATAGTGTTCAAAACATATATGTTCAGGAACTCTTATGAATCCCTCACCCAGGTAAGGAAACAACATTAGCAGCCTCTGATGAACAGTGACTGATGTGCCCCTCCCTAATCCCATAGCCCTCTAACTAGATTTTGGTTATTCCTTTTCTTGTTTTTCTTGTAGTTTTACCAGCTAGGTGTGCATTTTTAAATAAAATTGTTTAGTTTGCACTAGTTTTGAAACTTACATAAATGGAATCACACTGTATGGTATCTTCTGTGGCCCAATGCTCCACATGACTGTAACTCATTTTCACTACTGTATAGTATTCCATCATAAGAGTATGCCATGACTTACATATTTCACTGTCAACAGGCATTTGGGTTGTTTCTAGATTGTGGCCAATGTGGACAATATTGCTATAAACACTCTTGAGGATGTCTCCTAGTGCATATGTGTAGAATATGCCTAGGAGTAGAATTAATGGGATGTGAATTATGTGCTTGTTCAATTTTACCAGGTGCAGGCAACGTGTTTTCCCAAAGCGGTTGTGTAACTTTTCCCTCCCGTCAGCAGAATTCTCTTGTATCCCATCCTCACCATTACCATATCATACTTTATACCAGTTTGAGAGATGTAAAATGGTATCCCGTTAGAGTTTCAACTTGCATTGTCCTAATTACTCATTATAGTTTCAGCATCTTTTCCTATACCTATAAGCAATATGTGTTTGTCTTTTGTGAATAGTCCAATGTGTCTCTTGTCATTTTTCTATTGGGTTGTTTATATCTTTCTTACTGAAATGTAGGCGTTCTTTCCATGCTCCGAACACAAATCCACTCATGACTGCAGGTTTGGCTAAATCTTCTGGGTTGAGGCTTGGCTTTTCATTCTCCTTAGGTGCCTTTAATGTAGTCAGATTTACCAATCTTATTCTTTATGGTTTTTACTTTCTGTATCTTGAGAAATTTTTCTCTAGTCTGAAGTCAAGAGCTATTTTCCTATATTATCTTCTAAAAGTTTTGTAGCTTTTTTCCCACTTAAGCCTTTAGTCTTACTGAAATTGCCATTTAAATATGCTGTAAGGTTGTATCTAATTTTTTTTCTATACGGATAACTGGTTATTCAAGCACTATTTATTGAATAATCTATCCCTTTCATACTAACCTACAATACCATCCCTGAAACAAATTATGTTTCTGTACACACATGGGAATCTTTCTGTTCCATTGGTGTATTTTTCTTTTGCTGCCCCAATAACTCACTATCTTAATTACTAAAGCCTTATAATAAATCCTGATATTTATTACAGCAAATCTTTATACTGTGTTCTTTGTTTCAGAAATGTCTTGGATGTTCTTAGCTCTTACTTTTCCATGTATATGTTAGAATTATATTGCCAAATTCCATTAAAAATTCTGTCCAGGTTTTGATTATAATTGCACTGAATCTATAGATTGAGAAGAATTGGCATCTGTATGATATTAAGTCTCCTTATCTAAAAACATGGTATATCTGTTTAGTTGTCTTCTACTGCTTTTTTTAATGTTTTCTATTTATAATAGAGGCAGGGTCTCCCTATGTTGCCCAGGCTGGTCTCGAACTCCTGGCCTCAGCTTCCCAAAGTACTGGGATTACAAGTGTGAGCCACTGTGCCTGGCCCTAGTTGTCTTCTTAAATATATTTTGATAAAATTTTATAAATTTTTTCTTAAAGGTCTCATACATCTTTTATTAGATTTATTCCTAGGTATTTTAAATTTTTGATTACGGTTATAAATTTTATCCATGGTAAAAATTAAATTTTCTAACCAACTGTTGTTGGTGTATGGTAATGCCACTTTTGTATGTTGATGTTGTATCCAGCAACTTTTCTAACTCTCTGATTAAGTTTGATGATTATTGTTCTGCAAATTCTGCACAGCATTCTATGTAGGTAGTCATGTCATATCATCTGCAGAAATAAGTTTTGTTTCTTCCATTCTAAACCATATAACTTTTGTTTATTTGTCTTGCAAACTGCTCTAAGACATCCAGTACAGTGGTGAGTGTAAGCAGTGATAATGGACATTTTTGTCTTGTTCTTGGCCTGAAAGAGGATGCTTTCAATATTTCAGTGTTAAATATGCCATTTATTGTAGGTTTTGCATAGATGCCTTTAACAAGACTAAAGAAGTCCTTCTACTCCTAATTTGCCAGGAGTTTTTATGAGAATGGATGTAAGTTTTGTCATATGGTTTTCCATTTATAAATTTTTGCTTTTATTCTGGTAATAAATCATATTCATTTTCCCCTGTTAAATTCATCTTACATTTCTAGGATTGAGCCAGCTTGGTCATGCTATATTAATTTTTTTTTGTAATTTGCTGGATTAGTTTTTTTTTTTCACATTTTCACACATATGTTAGTGAGTAAGATGGACCTGCATGTTTTCTTTCTTACACTCTAGGAAGTCCTCACCACCTCCAGCTGTTGTCCAGGCCAATAATAAACTGATCTGGGGTATCAAGATTCTGGGATATCAAGCTGGGAAGGTCCCCTCATTCTATTTTTTGATAGATGTGTTAAAAGGACTTATCTGCTCCTTGAACATTTGGTAGCAGTCACCAGTAAAGCCATCAGCTCGATGCTTTTTTTAAGGATAATTTTTAACCACTGATTTAGTGTCTTTGTTGGCTACAGGGCTATTGCATTTTCTATTTTCCCTCTAGTAGGTAGAAAGCTGAAACTCTCTGTCCCTTCTTAGGCCAAGATCCTCCTCTTTCTCCCCAAATGGTACTGAGGGTGGTAGGAAGTGGCATTAGAGCTTGCTTTTGTCTTACTCAGAACTCAGCATCTCTGTTTCCTGTGCAAGAGCCCTTATTTGACATAAAATCAAGGTAGTGGCTAGTGCTCTCTCCCTCCCATCTGTCCCTCTTAAGTGTCCCTGGAGAGGGATAGAGCAGATGCCATAAACCTGTGGTTTTCCCAGAAGTCGCTGAGTGACACCAGATTGTTGAAAGTGCCACGAATAATTAAGAACCTTCTGGGGAGGTTGTTCATCTTGAGGCACTGCCCTCACTTCTCTCACTGAAGGAATCCACAGATTCCCCCAGGGATCTCCAGAGGATCCAGGCTCAATAAACCTGCTCCCTCCATTCTTCCCTCCTTCTTTCTTCTCCCCTGGCTCCATGTCCCCTCCCACAGGTACAGCCTTTCCCTACATTGTGTTAAAGCAAACTAACTACGGCCTGAGAAGGACTCCATACTTCCATATTTGGGTCCTTGTGGATGAACTGTAACCTAGCTTAATAGTCAGACAAAATTGAAAACCTAACTTAGTAGTGTGCACCTGTAACAATAGCTGAGTGTTGGCCAATCCCAGCAGCCATACTTCAATTACTGATATGCTGCTGAATGTTCAAACTACATTCAAATAAGGCAAACGCCAAGTTGTAACCAATCTCCCGGTTTCTGTGCTTCCCTTCCAATTCCTGTACTTCACTTTTTCTTTTTTGTCTGTAAATTTGTTCTGACCACGAGGCACCCCTGGAGACTCTGAATCTGCTGTGATTCTAGGGGCTGCCCAATTTGTGAATCGTTCATTGCTCAATTAAACTCAATTAAACTCCTTAAACTCTTTCAGCTGTAGTTTGTTTTTTGTTTGTTTGTTTGTTTGTTTTGTTTGACACAAAGTCTCACTCTCTCGCCCAGGCCGGAGTGCAGTGGAGTGATCTCAGCTCACTGCAACCTCCGCCTCCCAAGTTCAAGTGATTCTCCTGCCTCAGCCTCCTGAGTAGCTGGGATTACAGGTGCGTGCCACCACACCTGGCTAATTTTTGTCTTTTTGGTAGAGGTGGGGTTTCACCATGTTAGCCAGGCCGGTCTTGAACTCCTGACCTCAGGTGATCCACCTTCCTTGGCCTCTCAAAGTGCTGGGATTACAGGTATGAACCACTGCGCCCAGCTGAAGTTTTTCTTTTATCAATTGTAAATGCCATTGAAGATGCCGCTTTTCCTACAGTATAAAGCTCTCACATGGGAAATGCATGTCCCTTGACTCTAGGGCCTGGTGTTGCTGAGTTTGGGGGGAACTGAAGGGGATCCTGGCTAAGAGAGCAGCTCCATCTGAGATGCAGAATGAAAAAGGTGACAAAGCAGTAGACAGGGGTGCGTCTGAAAGGTTGGTGGAGCTGGGTGCAGCTGCAGGGTCTCCCGGCAACCCCCTCCTCCACACCGTGCTTTTCCTAGGCCTCCTCCCCAGATGCAACCTCCTGGTCTAGGGTAGATTAACTACTAACAAGCGCTCTTTATGCTCATTCAGTCTCTTCCTGTTAGTAATGCCCATTTCCCCTTGTTCAGAGCTTGGTGCCAAGAGAAAGTAGCCAGATCCCTCTTAATTAATTCAGGCATTAAGGCAACAAATGTATTTCAAATATATCTCAAGGAAAGAAACAACCCTTCCAAAGGCCCACATTGACATTTGTCTTGGGCCTCGCCTCATTTTGCTCAGGGTGGGAGTGAGGAAGGGAGAGCATGCAGACATTCCTTTCATTCCTTGGCCCCCACCACAGGCATGTGGGATCTTGGGGGCTTAGGATGGCCCCAGCCCCACCCACTCCCTCCTCCAGGGTGTCCTTGCCATTCCCAGCTGTCACCCGGGCCAATAATAAACTGATGAGGCCAGGCAAGCAGAAGCCCAGGCTTAGGTGAGGGCACCTCCCAGTCCCCCTACCCACTCAGCAGCTCCACCCTTGGAGATCACACTCCAAGGGGGGACAGTAAAGGGGTCACCTGAGAAGGGGGGCATCTAGAGGGAAGGGACAAGGACCCGGTGTCCACAACTACTGCCATTACCACTGCTTGTCCTTGGCCTTCGTCTGAAGCAGAGCAGCAGGGACACGGGGGAGCCAGTCCACCCAAACCAGCCCAGACCCACCCGCTGGTGCCCTTATTTCCCTAAGCTCCTTCCTGGCATCTAGAGTAAGATGGCCAAGCTGTAGCCTTAGTTCGTATGACCTTACTTGGGCCTCCTTAGAGGTGGAAACCTCCACCCTCTCCATGTTTAAAGTTAGCTCTCTGTATGCCACATGTGGCTTATCTGTGCCCACGGTTAAGTCCTGGGCTGCCTTCTGCTGCACAACCCAGAGCTACTTCACCCAACCCTGGAGTATGAAGGGACTTGGCTCCATAACATGAGCCAGGACAGGGCTTCATGTTCGACATCTGGGACCCCTAAAGTCAGAGTACAGAAGGAATGTCACCCCACCATCTTCCTACTGCCATCGCCTGGACGCAAATGTGACTTGGTATGGAGGGAAGATCAAGAGGTCTTTGCCCCCTGGACAAGTCACTTCTCATCCCAAGTCCTCTGTGTCCCATTGTACAGTCGGCAGGTTGGACTAGATGACCTACTGGCCACAGCTGGCCACTGCCAGCCACTGGGTACCTCTTCTCAGAAAATAAGGAAAGCAAGGGAGGGTCAGAGTCTCCACTTGGCATCAAGCATCACTTCTTCACCCTGATCCCCCATCCAGAAGACTCCTTGCAATATCATCCTGAGCTAAACATGGGGGACTTGCTCTATGGCTTCCTCCTCCTGACACACGTGTATGCATGTGCACGAGCAGACGCACACACACACCCCACCCTTGTGCAACACGCATGCTTGCAGAGGAAACTTGTCCTTTCTTGGCCAAGCACAGGGGCCTGGAACAATGGGAGGGAGGGTGTCTTACATTGCACTTCACACCAGAGCCTGTCCTTACAGATTCCTCAGGATCTCAGTCTGCACTAGCTGACCCCACAGGCCTTCCCTGCCCTTCCACCTTTCGGGTTCCACATCTGCAGCAACCACTGAGCTTCAGCCAGCCAGCGGTGGAGCCAGATGCCCAGGCTGTGCTCCAGAGCATCCCTGCAGTGACTCAGAGGCCACTGACCTTTGAACACATCCAGACCTCCCCTCCCTGCCAGTGGAGAGATCTCCCAGCACACCAGACCCTAAATGCCTTGAGACAATCTCTTTCTAATCCCTTAATCCAGTGGTGGGAGCCATTTTCTATTAAGGGGCAGTGACCTCAGTGGAAAATCATAATCATACAAGGGCCACATCACTGTATAAAATTACTGAAGTTTGATGTGGCTGCTGCTGTTTCTTTTTAATTAGGAAAGATGTATAAAACATTCAGAACACCTGATTTTTAAAGGAAGACAAAACCATGCAAAATAAACATGATCAATATGTTAGAATATGTTTTCCAAATTGAAGGCAGTTGAGATGGTGTGACTTAAAAGAATGTAAAGGAAAGAAAGAGTGAGAAATTGTGGTAGGAAAAGGAGAAAGACTAGAGAAAAATAAGGAAAACGTGAAGGGCAGGAAAGGGCAGGCCAGTGGAAAGGAGAGGGAAAGAGGGTGATGAGGTTAGGAGCAGCAAGGAGGGCTCGTTAGGCCCAGCTGCTGGGTCATTACTTTCTGCTCCATGCTTCTGGTCAACCCTGATCTTGTAAGGCTGGTTTTCAGATTATTACCTGGATTGTAGGCTACCATTTACACAAAGTCATTTGGTAGATGCTCATTTCTATTATACCATTTCATCTTTGCAAGAACTCTAAAAACTAGGCTTGAGAAAAGTAAGACCTAGAAAAGTTGCCCAAGCTCACACACCATAACAATTGGCCAGGACTCCAATTCATCCGCAGATCAAAGCTTCTGCTGTTGATACTATACCATTTGTATTGTCTACCTTGCCATTATCTTCCTATTGAACTGTTGATTATCTTTGTTCATTGCCCCCTTGATCACCATGAGGCAATGAACAAATGATCCAGCTACTCTTTCCTTCTTTCTGTTTTCTGAACCCATTAAACTCGTCCCATCTCTATTCCCCACCTGCCCTGACCTCAAAACTTGGTCTGATCTATTCTTGCTTCCTGGGCTTGGTTTTCCATGCCCAGATCTTCCCATAGCAGCCCAGCTTACCCTTCAGGTCTCCCCTTAAGCATCACTTCTTCAGAGAGTCCTTTCAACCACCTCCCTGTCACTCTCTCACATCACTCCAAATTGTTTATTATCATGGCACTTACTGCTGCGCGGTGTTTTTTGTTTTGTTTTGTTTTTTGTTTGTTTGTTTGTTTGCTGTTGACTATCCGTCTTTCTGAGCTAGAAGAGAAACTCCATGTGACCAGGACTTTATCAGCCTTGTTTGTTACTATATCTCCGGAATCTAATACTACTTCTGGCAAATAGTAGATGCTTAATATGTGTTTGTTGAATGAACGAGTGAATAAATGAACTGCTCTCTATCCCCTTTATAGACTCTGCTCCTAGCTGTTAGTGGTACTTTTTTGTACAGAACCAACAAATCAATCCCTAGGTTGCATTTCCCATATCAATCAGCTCAAATTCTCCTTCTACAATTCTAATCAAAACTCATCCATTCCACAAGCATGTCCAAGCTCTTGGCTGAGACTGTGGATGAAGATAAATGAGATTTGACTCCAGATTCAAGGCCTGAGCTTCTGGAGTTTATAGAGTCTAGAAGAGAGGGGATAAGGCATGCCCACAAAGTATTATAATTCAAGATTAAATGAGTCATAAACAATTAAAAAAGAACAAATTAAATATGTTCAGAGGAAATTTCCTCTGGTTGGATGATCTGTGGGGACCCTAACGTAAAGAAACAACAGAACTGAGATCGAGTTTTGAATGAGGGTTCAGACCTCACTGCAGTCTCAGGCAGTCAGCCATGAGACTCAGAGCCATGACCTCAGATTGAGGGCCAGGGTGTGTCCAGACTGGACCAGGCACGCGAAGACCCGGGAGGCAGGAGGGGATAAGGATGGAGAGAGGCTGAGGCCAAACGGTCCAGGTTTGTGGACTGCACATAGCCATGGGAGAGAGCGAACTGAGTGGGCACCATGACCCAGGCAGCAATGTAAACCAGCAGCCCAGCCGCTGCACTTGCAGCTGACAGGAGGGAAGGGGGTTCGTGCAGGACCCTCACCCACAAACCCAGGGGGTTAACCAAGTTTCTGTCTAAGAAGTTCAGCAGGGCAGATTTCTCTCCTTTCTTAGTAATGTGAAATGTAAGCTGGTCAACAGGCATGATTTCTCAACAGCAGGAAATGAAGCAACTGTTTTGGAGACAGCATCCCTCCCTGATGGAGGGCAAGGCTTCAGGCTGTGGTCATTTTCCTGTCAAGTTAATCCTAGTTGTAGAAAACACATCTCCTGAGAAGGCTGGCCTGTCAGGGAAGGGGTGGAGACCTGGAGGCCTGGGGTAGGAATGGGAATGAGGAATGAGCAGGGCTCCATGTTGTTACTCATGAGCGGTAGGGGCTCTGCTGGAAGAAGATCGGGCAGTGTGGAGAAACTGGAGGCGGACTAGGAGGTGGGGTGGGAGGCTGGCGGCGAGCGGAAGGGAAGGATGGGCAACAAGCTTCAAGGGGACTTGGAGGTCTCAGGGAAGGATGCCAGACCTGGAATAGTTCCCAGCCTCTGCCTCTTTTCTTTTTTATTTTTCGACAGAATCTTGCTCTGTCGCCCAGGCTGCAGTGCAGTGGCGAAATCTCGGCTCACTGCAATCTCTGCCTCCCAGGTTCAAGCGATTCTCCTGCCTCAGCCTCCCAAGTAGCTGGGATTACAGGCACCGACCACCATACCCAGCTAATTTTTGTATTTTTAATAGAGACGGGGTTTCACCATGTTGGCCAGGATGGTCTTGATCTCTTGATGTCGTGATTTGCCTGCCTTGGCCTCCCAAAGTGCCAGGATTACAGGCATGAGCCACCGCGCCTGGCCCTCTGCAACTTTTCTCTCCATCTTTCTGAGGCCCATGGCCCCTCCCAGACTCAGTCATAGCCCTAGCTTCTGGGACCTGGGACCACAGTCATTTCTTCTAGTTCCTTCTCCTGGGCCCATCTTTACCATATTATATTGTAAGTATTGGCTCAACAACTGCCTTCTACATAGACCCTGGGCCCATTGAGGGCAAGGGCCCTGTCCCCCTCCTCTGCTGGCCCTAGCACCTGGCAGACTGGGGCTGAACCTGCAGGGCCTGTGGATGTCGGGCTGAATGATATAGTTGCCGTTGTACCTTCTGGGTCTCTTCCACCACCTGATCTCTAAATGTCAGGATGCCTCAGGGCTCAGGCATGGGCTTCTGCCCTTCTTGCTCTACGTGAACTCATCCGTTCCCATGGCTTTAAATAGCATCTTGACACCAATGACTGTATCCGCAGCCTAGACCTCTCCTCCAAGCTCCAGATGCATGTATCCACCAGCCCGCTTGCTCTCTCTACCCAGATAAGGCATAAACAGTTCTTTAATATGGCTGAGACAGACCCCCTACTCTAAAACTTATCTCCACCCCATGAATTCCTCACATTAAACAATTAGCACAACCTTGTCCACCTTGCTAAAGGTAGGACCCCCTGGGTGGTTCCTGGTCCCTCTATTCCCTCATCCTTTTACATCCAACTCATCTGTAAGTGTGCGGATGTTCCCTCCAAGGAATGTCCATAGTCCACCCTTCTTTCCACCTCCACGTCCCCAGCCCAGGGCAGGCCACCGCATCTCTTGCCTGGACCTCTTTAACAGCTGCTTATGTTCATGCCTCTTCCACTCTTGCCATACCACAAATCTATTCCCTACAGAGCCACTAGAGTGACTTTCCAAAACATAAACTCTATCCTGGACTACCTGCTTAAACATCCAGTGGTGTCCCATTGCACAGAGGACAAAACCCCTCTGTGGTTTCCACAGGCCCCAGGACACAGACCTGCCTCTCTCCCCGGGGCCTCTTGTCTCTCCCCACATCCCCAAACTACTCTAGCCAGCTGGTCAGCTTGCTTGTGCTTTTCTCTTTTTTTTTTTCCAACACACTAAGCTCTTTCTCACCTCCAGGACTTTGCATATGGTGTTCTCTGCCTGGATCATTTTCTCTCTTCTTGAGGTAGCTGACTCCCTCTCATCCCTCAGATTTCTGCTTAAGATCACCTCCTCGGAGAAGCCTCCCTGACTGTCCTAACTAAAGGAGGTTCCACTCCTCACTCTCCCCACCCTAGCCCAGGACTTGGCACCTAATAGGGGCTCAGTAACTCTTTCCTGAAAGAATGAACACATGCTGCCCTTAGTCCCTGGCAGACTCCTGTGAGCTCTTTAGTTTATCCTTCTAAGCCACCAAAGATTCACTCTCCTTTCCGCTTATTTTTACGTTTTCTCAAAACTTTCCTCATAAACACCATATTGTTGAGTTTCTTTCTCTCCCTAAAATAGCTGCAGAACTGGACAAAGACTGGCTATCTGCTTCCTAGCTGTCCCTTTCAGTTTCAGGGTTTATGTGCTAGTCATTGCAGGGGAGCAGTGGGGAGAATGGAAAATTACCAACAAGGAGAAGTGGCAGAATCCAGGGACTGACCGTGTTCTTACACCCGTGGTCCTCAGTCTATAGTTAGCTTCTGACTTCCTTTCTTGGCAAGATCTATACCAGCTATCTAGGACAGTCCCAGTTTCAACTGTTCTGTCCTATTGTCCCACTGTGTTTCATGAATTTTCTTACAATATTGGCTCTCTCTCTTTTTCCTCCCACTCTCCTTTTATCCCATGAGGGCAGCCTTACTTAAACAACCCTCGCACTCAGTGTTGAAAGAGCTGAATTCAGTTCAAGTCTTGCTCAACCACATAAAATGTGCACGACTTTGGGCAAAGCACTGATCCTCTCTCAGCTTCCGTTTGCTCACCTACTGAGAGGGATAAGGCCAACACCTCCATTCCAGCATTCGGCAGGGCGGGTTGTGACTGGAATAGCATGTGTTGGGCACTTGGCACCCATAGCAAGTCTCCCTTGCCCCTCAGGATGAATAATGGAGTGAATTAGTCTTTCAGCCAAAAGACTCTGGGCTCCAGAGAGTAATGTAATGCTTTACCCAAACAGTGGAAGTGTGGAAGTGATGTGGATGTTGGGGGACTGTTATATTCTCTCGGTTCAGCTGTGGCCTGAGTGATGAGTCAGGTCATGTCTGTAGATAGAGAGCTCTGTCTCCACAAAGAGGAGGTGCCCAGCTCCAATCCCTGGGGAAAGGTTGTATCTTTATTGGAAACCAGAGCTCAGAAGACTAGCCTTAGGGAGATGGAAGAGGGCCCCGACTTGGGAGCAGGGGTGCATCTTTCAACAGGGGTCCCTAAACAGATGGCGCCCTCCGTATGGAATCAGGAGTCGAGCATAGCTTGAACGTCTGACTGTCCAGGACCCACCTCAAAGCGTGCACTTCCCCTGCCTCACCCTCAAGCCTCCCCTGAGTCTTATCTGAATGCCTTGGCTCAGGCTCTGCTTTTCAGGGGGAGGACTGTGCCACCTCCTGGGCCAGAGTGTTAAGGGGTGACCAGTGCCCCTGAGACCACCTTGGCTACAACCTCTCAAGGGAAATGTGCATCTTGGTGAATCCGAGGGACAGGGTAGGGATCATGCAATCCAGCTGCTTCTTTCTCCCCACCAGGGAGGTCTTCATCCAGTGCCAACCTGGGTAGGTCTGCCTCGAGCATGTTTTTATTGAGGAGCTGGCACTTTCTTTCAAATGTCAGGGGCATTGAAGACCACGCAGGTTTCACCTCCTCCAGGCCCTTGCCTAGCAGGAGAAAGGTCACTTTCAGGCATGTCCTCACACTCCCTGCACTCAGGTTTGCCTTGGGCCATGCCTGGTCAAAGGAAGCCTAGAGACTGGGCTCCAGTACAGGCTCTGTATTTAGCAGCCAAGTGACTTGGAAAGGTCACCTGCTCTCTGCTTCCTCATTGTCAATGGAGAAAACAATCTCTGTATTAGTTTTCTGTGGCCGCTATAACTAATTACCACAAATTATAATGGCTTAAGACAGCACATATTTAATGTCTTACAGTTTTTTGAGGTTACAAGCCTAAAATAAGTTTGATAAAGCTAAAATCAAGATGTCCACAGGGCTGTGTTCCTTCTGGAGTCTCCAGAGCAGAATCTATTTCCCTGCCTTTCTAACCTTCTAGAAGCTGCCCGCATCCCTTGGCTCGTGGCTCCTTCCTTCATCTTCAGAGCACATCACTCCTACCTCTGCTGCCCTTGTCACATCCCCTTTTCTGTGTCTGACCCTCCATCATCCGCTCATAAGGACCTCTGTGATTATATTGGGCCCACCCAGATAATCCAAAATAACCTCCCCAACTAAGACTCTTAACTTAGATACATCTTCAAAGTCTCTTTTGCCATGTGTGGTTACATGTTTCCAGGCTCTGGGGTCTAAGACATGGACATCTTTGGGGAGCCATTATTCTCTCTACCACAGCCTCCTTACCACATAAGCTGTTCTCAAATCGCATCCATCTCCAGGCTTCAGGAAGGACCTTCTCATCTCATCGCAGGCCAAAGGGCCCGGTCGCCTAAGGATGAGGCCTGGTCCCCTAAGTACTCCTAAGGATGGAGAGTCTGAAGATAGCTTTATTTGCCTGTTTTCTTTGAAACAGGGTCTTGCTCTCTCACCCAGGCTGGAGTGCAATGGCAAGATCTCAGCTCACTGCAACCTCTGCCTCCTGGGTTCAAGGGGTTCTTCTGCCTCAGTCTCCCAAATAGCTGGGATTACAGGTGCATGCCACCACACCTGAGTCTTTTTAGTAGAGACGGGGTTTCACCATGTTGGCTAGGCTGGTCTCGAACTCCTGACCTCAGGTGATCTGCCTGCCTTGGCCTCCCAAAATGCTGGGATTATAGGCATGAGCCACCACGCCCAGGCTAGTTGCCTGTTTTAATGTTGAAGGCTCTTAAAGGGAGTTATAACTGCTATCTGACCCATCTCCATTCTGGCAAAAGGGATCCATGTAGCTCTGCTGTATGCGTTTTCCAAATTCAGTGTTTAGTGGGGGAGCCACAGGATCATCTCAACTGCAGAGGGTGGAAATCTCATGGGAGAGCCAGAAATGAAGGTGGGGTTGGAGAAGGAGAACCGGCCTCCTCAGAGCATCTGCTCCGTGCCAGACCCTCACATGCATACCTCACTGAATTCTTACCACAATCCTGTGAGGAGCTGAGGCTCAAGGGGGCTGAGTCATGCTAAAAAGGTCAGCAAGTGGCAGAGCTGAATGGGGGTTGGGGACTTTTTCTGATTCTACCACAGCACCACGTGGGGTTGGGGTCACCTGGGCTCTGGCTTTGTACATTGCCAGTGTTTCTTTTCTCCTGGCATCAAAAACAACTCCAAGGAGAGGATGGTTGTTTATGGTGAACAGGGCTATTTAGAGAGGTTAGAGGTGTACATTTGTAGATGACATTTAGAATGTATGGAGAAGGAGTGTGTGTGTGTGTGTGTGTGTGTGTGTGTTTCACTAACCTCCACTTACTTCTGGATACTGAAGGGAGAGGAGAAGGAGGATCATCCAGTGGATTGGAGTTTAAGATTGTCAACAAGACATCACTAAGAACACCTTTTGCATGCCCTATGGATAAGTGCAAAGCATCCCTCAAAACAGTGGTTTCAAATCACAATCACCATCCAGAGAGATGTGTTAGAGACCTGGGTCCTTGGGTGTGAGAGATCTGTTGAGAGAGTCAGGCCCTTACCCAAGCATGGCTATGGGGAAGTCCAGCAGAAAGAGACACAAACCCTGCCCTCAGGAGGCACCAGATCTGAAAAGAAAAGGAGACGAGAGCCCCTACCTTCAGGGAGATCCTAAAGTGTGTGGCAGATGGAAAAGAGATAGTCCTGCCTTCAGGGAGCTTCCAGTCTGAGAGGTAAGATGAGACACATGGGCACTAAAACACCACCATAGACACAGGTGTTCCCCAAGCTCACAGACCCAGTGGTTGTAAGAACACAGTCAGAGGATAGAGCAATTAGATGTGAGCCTGTGAAAGAGGGAAGGTTCCAGAAGATGAGTCTGGAATAGAAAGAGGAATCACTGAAGTGAGGAGTGGGCACCAGAATGGGGAGTACACTGTGAAGGCAGAAGCAAGCCGGTCAATCCCTGGGATGGGGGACACCCAGATCGGCTTGAGTGGCCATCACTTCTTTAACAAGATGGGCCAAAACCAGGGTCCAGAAAATAAATACACACATGGCTGCTCCAGGCACCTTCAGAGGGGTGAAGACTGCTGGCCCCGACTTCTAGAGTGGTTCCTTACCCTGCTTTCACTCCCAGTCCCCTGCCCATGGGTGTCGTGTGCCAGAAAGCACAGACCCTGGGAGCCACTGCTCCCTTACAGGAGAGGCCGCCTGAACACAGCTGTCCCACATCCAGGCAGAAATGGTGCACAGCGCCACATTCCACCCTGTCTGCTAACCAGGAAACTGATTTCAGGCTGGCTAAGGGGACCCTTGTACATCACTTTTCTATTATCTTCATGTGGCTTCTCCAGAGAGACCAGGTTTTCATGGGCCTATGAGGGACTGTCAACTTCAGTTCAGTTTAGTTTAACAAATGTGTGTTGAGCATTGCTGACACTCTGCCCTGTTTCCAACATGACTAAGCACTTCACATACCATGGCAGGAAAAAAAAACCAACAGGGTCGCCCTGACTGGTTCTGGTCCCCAAAATAAGCCTTGACTATTTCCCAGAAACTTGGCCTTCCTAAGAAAAACCATTTGATCCCTGACTTTTGCTCTGCTGAAGTCTGAGGATACGCTGTGACTCTGATGACCATGTGAGAAAGTTGCTGTTTTCCACCATGAAGAAATGGTACCAATGTAAACACGGTCATCTAGGCCATTTGGGACTTTTTCCTTTAAACATTTGTGCTTTGTATTTGATGAGCCAGTTTTGTTTGAAAGCTTACTCCCTTCCACTCTTTGCAACTGAAAGTTTGTTTACTTCTCTCTCTCTCTTTTTTTTTTTTTTTGTAGCTAACAATAATTTATTGTATATTTCAAAATAGCTAGAAGAGTTGATTTGAAGTGTTCATTATTTTCTTCTCTTTTCTAAATGTATTAGTCTCTGGTCCTCCTTTGACAGCTTATTCCTGGAGTTTCTACAAAGCTATTGGCTGCCTGGCTCCTACCAAGGGAGCAGGCAGACAGGTAGAGCTCACAGTGTACCTTACCCCTTGGATCTGATCTGCAGCCCACCCTCCTCTGGCTCCTCTGAAATGTCTTCTGTGCGACAATAGAGCTAAATTGATTCTTGCCAAGTCTGTTTCTGGTTCTGGTTCTGATGGTGCATGGCCAATTGTGTCCACATTGGTAGCAGCAGGAGTGGAATCTAGGTTTGATGCTGCTATGGCCTGACCATGACATGATTTCTGTCAGGTGCAGCAGACAGGGTTTCTGGAATCTGACTCCCCTCGTAGTATTTTCTGGTGAATGTGTTTGTCCAAGGATTTTGAGATTTCTTGGAGTTTGAGAATACAAGGTTGAAGAAGTTGTTTGGAGTCTCTGTGACTTTTGGAATTCTCTGTGGTATGTGTTTCATGTTGGTGTCAGTAGGTTCTTTTCATTCCAAGCTCAGAGCTTCCTTCCTCAACCCTAAGTTCTGGCTTTTAAAGTTATTATGGTCCAAATAGCTATTGATAGCTACAAAGGTAAAATTCCTATAGCTAAGATAAAAGGAAAATCAGCTTTCATTAATTTCTTTAAATAACTAAATGATGCTGGTTGCAGTGGCTCACGCCTGTAATCCCAGCACTTTAGGAGGCTGAGGCAGGAGGATCGCTTGAGCTCAGGAGTTCAAGACTAGTCTGGGTAACATAGTGAGATCCTCTCTCTACAAAAAAATGTTTTAAAAATTATCCAGGCAGGGGGCTGTGCATCTGTAATCCCAGCCAGTCAGGAGGCTGAGTTGAGAGGATCGCTTGAGCCTGGGAGGTTGAGGGTGCTGTGAACGGTGATTGTGTCACTGCACTCCGGCCAGGCATCAGAATGAGACCCTGTCTCAAAAATTAATTAGGCCAGGCGTGGTGGCTCACTCCTGTAAGCCCAGCACTTTGGGAGGCTGACGTGGGTTGAGCACTTGAGGCCAGGAGGAGTTCAAGACTAGCCTGGCCAACACGGCAAAACCCTGCCTCTAATAAAAATACAAAAAAAAAAAAAAATAGCCAGGTGTGGTGGTGCACACCTATAATCCTGGCTATTCAAGAAGCTGAGGCACAAGAATTGCTTGAGCCTGGGAGGTGGAGGCTGCAGTGAGGCGAGATCACACCACTGAATTCCAGCCTGGGTGACAGAGCAAGACTCTGTCTCAAAATAATAATAATAATAATAATAATAAATTAAATGATTTAAAAATAATGTCTTCAGAAATTTTTATATGAGGTTAAAAGGGAGCATTATTGCAAGGATAGGGACATAAAAAGAGAGAGATCGTGCTGCTAAATTCAGAAGGAGATCTCCAAATTACTCAGATTTTCAACAATGATGCTTCTTCCTAAAAGACCTAATGGGGCTTAATTATGTGTCTTATCATATGTCATTTATTTCAAATGTTGTCTCTAGGTTTAAATATCCTTGTCAGTTGGTGACATTCTTACCCATAAAGATAAAATTAAGGCCCTGGAGATTTGTTAATGTCCCACTCTCTCATACAAATCGATTGCACATTATACCTTAATAAAAGACTCCATTCTCCTCCATTCTAGCTGATTAACCAGAACCATTTAATTTTATTATACATGGGTAATATTTCCGTTTTCCTTCCATATACTAAATGTTCCTGCTACAAGCTAAAGATCAGGACTATTGATATCACAGGACATAAACACCCATGGATACGGACTTCCCTCTATAAGCTGGCATTGGACCTGTTCGACTGAACCAAGGGACTGACTCAGATTCTCTAGAGTGGTTTTGGTCTAGACTCTAGAATAAGGGTCAGAAAACTGGCTGTCAGGTTTTGTTTTTATTTTATTTTTTTAATAAAGTTGTTTTTTTGTTTGTTTGTTTGTTTGTTTTTTGTTTTTGAGATGGAGTCTTGCTCTGTCGCCCAGGCTGGAGCGCAGTGGCGTGATCTCAGCTCACTGCAAGCTCCGCCCCCCGGGTTCGCGCCATTCTCCTCCCTCAGCCTCGCGAGTAGCGGGGACTACAGGCGCCCGCCACCACGCCCGGCTAATTTTTTGTATTTTTAGTAGAGACGGGGTTTCACCGTGTTAGCCAGGATGGTCTTGATCTCCTGACCTCGTGATCCGCCTGTCTCGGCCTCCCAAAGTGCTGGAATTACAGGCTTGAGCCACCGCGCCCGGCCTTAAATAAAGTTTTATTGGAACACAGTCATGCTCCTTGGGTCAGTATTCTCACGGCTGCTTTCCTGCTACAAGGGCCATGTTGAGTAGTTGCATAGAGAGTGAGAGCAGCTGATCAGAAAGCATACAATTTTATAGAAGAAAGTTTGGTCTACCTAACCCAAGACCAACAAAACAAAAATGAATTACCTAGGACTAAGTGAAATAAGTGTTGGTTTCATTATGATCGATATTATATTTTAATTAATATCAGAAAAAAATCTGCTTACTCTATCTCTCATTTTCAATTTAACATATTATACCTACACATACTGGAGTAAGGCACTCTTTTTAAAAAGATTTTAATAATATATTTTATTTGACCCAATATACCCACAATATTAACATTTCAACATGTAGTCAATCTATAAATTATTAATGAGATAGCTAACCTTTTTTTTTTCCAACCTATGTCTTCAAATCCAGTGTTGGTTTTTATACGTACAGCACATGGGCGCACTCCTTAAATGTCACTTAGTCCCACTTGAACTTTCAAATTTCAAAAGGAAAAAAAATCCCATGGGAAATCTTAATATAGATTATAAACTAATATATCATCAGGACAATTTTAAAAGAAGAAAAAAACCCTGCATTTCCTGGCAGGCTAGGAATATTAACAAACATGGCAATCTTAAAGAAAATAGCACTGATATAATACTTCACACATAAAAGCAATTTCTTCCTAGCCCTAAGGGCTTTACAAAGCCTCCGGACAGAAGTTCACTGTACAGCCTGATCAGATTATAATGACCTGTATTGATCGGACTTGTCTACAGAACAGTACTCATAACTCCCGCAGCCCTTGTAACAATCTTGTGTTTAATGTTGGGATGTCTTAGGCCTCAGAAGCAGGCCTTAGACAATAAAAATATACTCTAACCTTTCCCCTTCTCTGGTCATAAAGAAATCCCCTGACCTACCTTGTCGGATTGTAGGTCATAAGACCCCTGTTTCAAAAGAGAGTCTTGCCCAGTTCCCTGAAAGAAGGAATGCTGCATAGAGGCCAATAAGAATCTGAACAGACAGCCCTTGCTGGGTTTCCCTATTGCGTCTATTAGTATTAGACCACACCCTTCTTGTCCAATCACATTTCTACATGGTTGTCAATCATGACTACCCAGTGAAGTCTCCATAAAGGCCCACGATGACTGGGTACAGAGCACTTCCAGGTAGCTGAGCATGTGGAGGTTCCTGGAGAGCGGCACCCCCAAGGAGGGCATGGACGCTCCAAGCCCCTTCCCCATACCTCGCCCTGTGTATCTCAGCATCTGTGTACTTTGTAATATCTTTTATAATGCACCGGTAAATGTGTTTCCCTGAGTTCTGTGAACCTCTCTAACAAATTAAACCTAAAGAGGTGAATGTGGGAACCCCAACTTGAAGCTGGTCAGTCAAAAGTTCCAGAGGCCCAGACTTGTGGTTGATGCCTGAAGGGGCGGCAGTCTTGTAGGAATGAGCCCTCAACCTGTGGGATCTGATGCTCTCTGCAGGCCGAGAGCATCAGAATTGAACTGGAGGACACCCAGCTGGTGTCCATTGCAAATGCTTGCTTGGTGATGGGGAGAGACCCACACATTTGGTGGCAGAAGTCTCCTGTGTTGATGGTGGTCATTGTGTTGAGTGAGAGAACAGAACAAGCACAGTTTATGTTTTCTCCTCTTACCCATGCTTTTACAAGTTCCTTTACTTTTTATGATCAAATATCCTATGTTATACATTTGAGGGGGAAAATTGGAACCAAATTAATATAGCTTATTCACTTCTAGATAGAATGAATGTTTATGATCATGTTATTTATATAGATCCAATGAGAATCTGTCCTTTTTCTTACCAGAAAATAATTGGATACTGACCATGCCAAAATTCCATTTAATTAGGTATGTGTTAAAGAAAAAAATTATCCAATGCCACTTGTTGAAGTATGTAAGGATGTCTTTATCCAAGATCATTATGACAGGTACAGGAACCAGGGCAATGGGGTCTTGCAGTTGGGGGGAGAGATTGGGCTCAACTCTAAATACAGCATGGGCAAGTGGAAATCAGTAGCTAAGGACCAGGGGGTCTGTAGACAGAAGTTACTAAGAGGAAACAGGAGTAAGGGGGATTCTGGCTAAACAGACTTAACAGGATTCTTGCTGCAGACAGGCCAGGGTGGTCAGACATCCCCTGGGGCATGATAAAGGACAAGGAACCTGGTCAGATGTCAAGGTATTCAGATGTTGAGGGTAGGGGGTTCTTGCTAAATTGACTTAGCAGGGCTCTTTGCTAAAACTGGATTTTACAAGGAAGTGCACAGATGGGCCTAGGAGAAGATTCAGAAGCCCGCCTGAAATTTGGCCAAGCAAAGAATTTTTGTTATATGATAAGCCACTATTAAGGAATAAAGACTACATTTTACATGTGGAAATGACACCTATGAAGTCCTCTAGAAAACTCTGGTATGGCTTTAGAACTGATGACATTGCAGCCTTAGAGGTAGTAAAATAAATAAATAAATAAATAAATAAATAAATAAATAAAACCTACATTTCCTGGCAGTCTAGGAATATTAACACATATGGGAATCTTAGAGAAAATGGTGCTGATATAATACTTCACACATAAAAGTAATTTCTTCCCAGCCCTAGGGGCTTTACAAAGCCTCCAGACAGAAGCTCACTGTAAAGCATCACTATCATGTGGCTCTGGTTTCGCTAGCCATACAAAAAGAAAGTATTTATTTCATCAACACCTCCTGTTATGTCAATAGAAATAAATTTTGGTCAAATAAAACAAAATATCAATTTGATGATGCTGCATCAGGAAGTTATTAAGCAACATATACGGTTCAACCCATGCCTCAATGGCAAGGACTTGCCCACAAGGAAGGAAAATCCGTAGACGCAAAGCCCAACTCTTCACTCTACTGGCTTCATTCATGACCAAGTACCACTGCGGGGTGGGGATGGGAATAATTTGCATCTGGAGATAAGCCAAGAATAATAGGTTATCCTGAGTGGTTTAAGACACCAAAATAATAAGCCTTGGCTATTTCCCATAAATTTGGATTCCCAGCTGGGTGTGGTTGCACACGCCATTGATCCCAACACTTTGGGAGGCTGAGGCAGGAGGATGGCTTGAGCCCAGAAGGTCGAAGCTGCAGTGAGCCCAGATCACGCCACTGCACTCCAGCCTGGGTGACAGAGTGAGACTCTGTCTCAAAAAGAAAAAAAATTCCCCGAAAAAAACAATTTCATCCCTGATTTTTGCTATGCTGATAAGTGAAGATGTGTTGTAAAAATGATGCTGATCTCCACCAAACGTGATAACCTTGGGTCATTTTTTTTTCCCCTTCAAATACTTGTTGCATTTTGCATTTGACGAGCCAGCCATTCTGAAATCTGACTCGCTTCCGCTTTTCACAAGCAACTGTTTTCTTCTCTAAGTGTTTCTGCCTCTGAGTCTTCGACAGCTTCTACTGTGCGCCAGCACCACCACCGAGCTGAGGATTTGGAGATGATTTGAATTCCTGCCTGGCAGAAGTCCACCCTCTGGAGGAAGAGACTACTTGTAAAAGAGAGAATTCTCCTCAAGCATTTGGTGGGGCATCAACACCACCTCTGTTTGCTCTGACACGCCATGCAAAATGAAGGAATCCTCAAAACCACTGTGCCCAAGGGGCCAGCCCAGGCTCCCAGGAGCTTGTTTTCTGAATGGTGGTAATGTCCACCCTCTGGCTCCTGATCCAGACTCATCTTGTGCCTCCCTCGAGCTCCCTCCTGCTAATTCCATGCCTCAACCACTCTTGAATTCTTCTGGTTCCTGAACATAACAACCTCTTCCTGCTCCAGGTTTTTGCACAATTTTTTTTGTGTGTAGGGGACGGTGGGCAAGGGGCAGACTAACACCTGCCCTTCCTTCGTAATACATTACTTGCTTTTCTTTGTTTAATGTCCATCTTCTTTGCCAGACTGTATGCTTCATGAGGACAGGGACTGCCTCTCTGTTCCCATTCACCTTTCTGTCTCTACTGTCTACCTCAGTGGAAGGCAACTACTCTAGTACACTTACTTAATAAACATTGGTTGAACACTATCAATGTACTGTGGGGCCTAGAAATGTTTGATTAGGGAAATTAAGTCAGGAAGCTTGTTTTGTGGTTTTATGGCACCTCCTGAGTCAGTTCTTCACAGGGTAACAAAAACTATTGAATGAGATGAAATTTTGAGAACATCAGGGTTTAAACTCATAAGAGTGTGAAGTTATGCACCATTTTGAGATCATTTGTTCATTTATTCAACGAGTACTTTACTGAGCATCTACTATGTCTCAAGCACTGGGGATAGATACAAAGGTGGATAAAATGACCCAGCCGTTGCCTTTACTGAGTTTATAGTCTAGTGAGAGAGGCAAACAAAACATCCACTGCCACACACAACATATAAAATTATAACTGAGTCAGGTGTTAAGGAGAGAGGTACAAAGTGCTCTGACAGCCCTATAGCGGGTTTTCTGTCACCTGGAGACTGCCTTTTCTGCAGACAAGGTGACTCCTGAGCTGCAATCTGAAGGATGAGGAAGAATAAAGCAGTCAAAGAAGAGCAGTGTTAGGCTGCAATTCTCCATCCGCAATTCTCCAACCGCAATTCTCCATGGGTTGCCTGCATTTCCTGCACAGCTTATGTGCAGAGGCACTGGCTTCTTTGTTCTAGGCAATCTTTTTAGTGATGTTTGTACAGCAAACAGCCTTGGAAGATAGAAATAGCGTCCCCCCTCCAGACCAAAAGGCAGATTTGTTTACTGTCCAGTAATAAAGATAATGTCTCCCTTATCTTGGGCTGGCCAAGGTGAGGAAGGCTTACTGCTCATCATGAAAGATTTGAGTTCCTTAAACTAGGGATTCCTCTGCTGTGATGTAACTCATTGCATTCATGGCATCTACCTGGGCTCCTCCAACACTGCCCTTGTGAGACCTGAGGGCTAAGGGGAACTGACCCTAACATGAAGTTCATGCTGCTTGCTGTACCATGGATAATAAAGTCCTTTGTCTCTGACCTAGGAGTCTCGTGTCTTCTGCCAACATCCACGAAACTGTAGTTATGTCATTAATTTGCAAGTAGCATAAAATCTCAGATCTTTCATCGTTATTTACAGGCAAGTGGATGTCATATATAAAGGCCCTGTGGCGGGAGTCAGTAGAGCAAATATAAGGATTTAAAAGAAGACATATAAGCATGAGTGGAATATAGGGAGGGTGGGGGTCATGGCCTGAGATAAGGCTGGGAGGTGGTGAGCCTATGAGACCCTTGGCCAATCCTGCTAACACAGGCCTGGGGGTATCTTGGCCATTTGTTGTTACAAAGCTGCCTTCAGGCAGAGCATGTGGAATTAATAAACTGAGCTTGAGGGAGCATAGGACAACAAGGCTTGGGCCAATCTAAGCCTATGAAATAATTTTTAACAAAGGGAGATAGTGAAAATAGGAGGTGTTTTCTTAACATCCTGTGCTCTGTGATGAAAAATTTTGCATCTGCATGCCACTTCATAATATCACTATTAGAAATTAGAAGTCCTCCTCTCAGTGCCCCAAATGAACCAGAAGAAGCTATCATTGACTGTCATTGCTGTCAATCATCTTGGGTACAAAAGGAGGCAGTCATCTTAAAAAGGAAAAGTGATGCCTCTTTAGTATTCACCGAGCGTGATTCTGGACAAGCCACTTTTTGTCCACCTCTCTTACAATGAAGGGAAGGCACTGGCTGAGTTTTAAAGGAAGAGAAAGGGAGAGAGGGAGAGAAGAGGGAGAGAGCAGAGAGACCTCACCGAGAGAGCTGCAAAACCAGCCTGGAAAAATTAGAGTATTACCTAACATTAGTGAAAAATAAAGGTACTTTCTTGAGAAGCCCTTGGACCCATTCTGCCTCTTGGAGTTCTGAACTTTTCACTCACTGCCTATTAATTAATGTTAAGCCTGCAAAGAATGGAGTTGTCCTGGATATTTGGCCAAAAAAAAAATGTATCCACAAACAGGGACGTAATCAGGCAGGGAGCCTCGTTAAGAAGTTTTGTTCTTGTCCTAGGAGTGATGAGAGATCACTGAAGGATTTAGAGAGGGGCTGTATCATCAGGCTTGGGTTCCAAAGCCTCACTGAGAGAGTTGGGGAGCTGACTGATGTCAGATGCTCGTGCAGCCGCCCCGTAGGGCCTGTATTTCCTCCATGGTGCCTCACTGCAGCACCGAGCTTGCAAAAGATCCTCTCTCTTTATGGGAATTTCAAAACAGAAGCAAAATAGCACCGGGGCTTAAAGCATTCTTGGGAATTTCCCTGTCTTTCCCTCTAAATAATCAGCATGTAAATTGCAAAAAAAAAAAAAAAAAAAAAAAAAAAGACACGGGCCCAAAAGGGAGCGCTCAGTTTCAGGCTCTTTGCTTTCCTTCCTCCCGAGGCTCTCTGGCCCTTACCCAGCCTGAAGACAGAAAGTGTGAGGGGGAGGGTAGGAAGGTAGGTCAAGCAGGGCAATGCTGAGCCTGGGAAGAAAACAACAGCCTTGTTTAGGGCACTGTGGCTTACGTAACTAAATTGTGCCCAGTTTCCACCTGGCCAGGGGCCTGGAGTGAATGCTGAAGATGCAAAGGTAGAGGCTGCCAGAAAAGCCAGGAAATTGCTGGCAAGAAAGGCCAGTGGTGGGGTGCAGGAGTGGGAGGAAGGCTGGGAAATGCGGCTGAGTCACATCTCCAGAAGCCCCCCATCATCACCCTAGTGGCTCTTCTGCTGGCAGGTGCCTCATGAAGACCTGACCCAAAGTTTTCAAAACTCTGCGGTTTCTCAACCCTCCTCTGGTAATCCATAGTACTCCCCCGCCTCCACTTGCCAGCCTCGTGATTCCTTCATTGACACATAGCTCAGTTCCCATAAAAGGGCTGGTTTGCCGCGTCGGGGAGTGGAGTGGGACAGGTATATAAAGGAAGTACAGGGCCTGGGGAAGAGGCCCTGTCTAGGTAGCTGGCACCAGGAGCCGTGGGCAAGGGAAGAGGCCACACCCTGCCCTGCTCTGCTGCAGCCAGAATGGGTGTGAAGGCGTCTCAAACAGGTATCTGGGCTAGCCAAGGTTAATCCATCAGAGTTGTGGGTTTTCAGGCCCAGACAGCCCGCAGAGCCATCTGCCTGCTGGGTGAGGGACTAAGGGAGTGGGCAGAGGGGGAGGAGAAGCAGAGCCAGGGGAGGGACTGAGGCTGCAACCAGGAGGTGGGGGTGGGGGAGGTGGGTCTCAGTTGCTTGGGGGAGGGAGCAGGGCGGAAGGGCAGGATGCACTTGCAGGGGTCTCATCCTGGATTTCTCTTCAGGCTTTGTGGTCCTGGTGCTGCTCCAGTGCTGTGAGTAATCCCTCCACCTCCACTTTTAAGTCCAGAGGCGTGGCGAGGGCACAGGGCAGGTGTGGAGGAGGTCTTAGCTCCAAGGGAACACTTTGCCAGGTTCTTCTGTGCTTCCAATGACTTCGAAATAGTCACGTTTGCTAAACTGGAGTGAGGAGTATATGGATGTTTATTTTGCTATACTCTTTGGTATATGTGAAAATTCTCAAAATAAGAAACTTTAAAAGGTCCTGGTTCAGTGAAGGCTTTGACTAACAGCCCCTGGGAGCCGCTAGTACAGTTGCCCAGTAGCTGCTTGGATGAGTGATGCCCACATTGTTTGCAGCAGGAGAAACAGAATTAGAGGCGAGGAAGGATTTCCTGGTCCATTGTGATATTGTGCCCCAGCCTGGGGGACATGCCGAGGGAGCACAGGACTGCCATTCCGGGTGGGTTACAAGTTAGAGGCACTCTCACCAGGAGGCAGAGAAAGGTGGGCCAGAGTCCCTCATGGATGAAGGACCTCACTGCAGGTCACTAAAGGTGCCAGCCTGAAAGCCAGGGCCATCTGTGACACAGGCTATCTTGGGCCTTCCCCTCCCACAAAGCCACTGCTTCCAGGAAGCCTGCTGTGCTGGCACCAAGTCCCATTTCATCCTTATTCCCCAGCTCCTACCCTTCCCCCACACAGTGCCTGTAGCGTATTCATCCCCTGCATTGGATCTTTTCTAAGCATTTTCAGAATAGGCCTTATTTTCACCAGTCAGGGAACTCCCCAGAGGCAGGGGGACCTGAACCAGCTCCTTTCATTTAAGAATTCTGACTTTGCTCACAATCTGCACCCCACTCCTCCCTACCCAACCCCACACCCCATTGGTGCTCAGCTCTGGGCTCAGCCTGAGGTCTCTTGCCGAATCCTGGCCCGGGCCCCATCCCAGACTTCTCCTTCAGGCTCTGCATACAAACTGGTCTGCTACTACACCAGCTGGTCCCAGTACCGGGAAGGCGATGGGAGCTGCTTCCCAGATGCCCTTGACCGCTTCCTCTGTACCCACATCATCTACAGCTTTGCCAATATAAGCAACGATCACATCGACACCTGGGAGTGGAATGATGTGACGCTCTACGGCATGCTCAACACACTCAAGAACAGGTTGGGCCAGGGCTGGCCAGGAGAGGAGGGACCAGCTGGGCTGGTCCCAGGGCAGGGCAACCCCACCCAGGAGGAAGGGCGAGGCCCCACCCTGCTCACCTATGTTTGGAGAGTTAGAGGGGCTTGGCTTAAATGGGTGGAGGGGATGACTGTAGGTGCTGGGCAATATTTGGGGTGATGAGAGACTGTAGACGGAAGCGCAGCTGAGCCCCTCTGGGAGAGGGGAACCCTCTCCTGCCCCTAACGTGCTCTCCAGGGAGCATGGAAAATGAGCAAGACTCTACTTTGCCATACTCTGTCTTCTCCACTGGGGAAAACAAAAATGGGCAGCAGACCTCAGAGTAACTCCCATGAAGCCTGTGACCCCTCAGAGATCCACCACTATGAATCTCTATGGGATTCCCATGATGTCCTATGGGAGGACATCAGCGGCCTAACCCAGCCTCTCACCCAAAGCAGGAAACCTTCTATGGCCTCTCAGACATGGGGCCACCCAGTGTCATGACAATGTCATTCCACTCCTGCCCTCCCCACCTCCCTGTGCTCCACAGGAACCCCAACCTGAAGACTCTCTTGTCTGTCGGAGGATGGAACTT